>NW_025791818.1:0-154929 GCF_000001405.40 Homo sapiens
CCTACAACATCATAAGAAAAAGAGAGAAAATCCAATAGAAAAATGGACAAAAGACTTAAAAAGGCACTTCACAAAAAAGGAAGGTCAAATTGTCATTAACCATAAGAAAAAGTGTTTGCCTCATTAATAATCATGATAATGAAAATTAGAAATTTAGAAATTAGAAATTAGAAAATAAGCTCTCACCACAAACTAATTGATTGACAAAAAAATTTAAAGTCTCATAATACAAAGTTTGGCAAGAATAATGAAGCACAAGAGATCTCTTACACTTCAGGTAGGAGTATAAAATGGTACAAACTCTTTGGAGAAAAGTTTGGCATTAGACTATAAATTTGATGATACACATATACATGATGTACTATTTCTACTGTTAGACATATATGTTAAAGAAACATATATTGATGCACCAGGATAATTGTTAAAGCATGTTCATAGAAACACTGTTCTGTAAAAACAGAACTGGAAACAATCTGAAGGTCTATCTTACAATAGAATGAATACATTGTGCTGTATTCATACAAAGGAATACCATACCACAATGAAACAGAATGAACTACAATTACATGCAACAACCTGTACACATCTCACAAACCTAACATTAAATTAACAAGCAAGAAGCCACAAAGGTTGTGAAAATTTTCTCCCATTTTGTAGGTTGCCTGTTCACTCTGATGGTAGTTTCTTTTGCTGTGCAGAAGCTCTTTAGTGTAATTAGATCCCATTTGTCAATTTTGGCTTTTGTTGCCATTGCTTTTGGTGTTTTAGACATGAAGTCCTTGCCCATGCCTATGTCCTGAATGGTAATGCCTAGGTTTTCTTCTAGGGTTTTTATGGTTTTGGGTCTAACGTTTAAGTCTTTAATCCATCTTGAATTAATTTTCGTATAAGGTGTAAGGAAGGGATCCAGTTTCAGCTTTCTACATATGGCTAGCCAGTTTTCCCAGCACCATTTATTAAATAGGGAATCCTTTCCCCATTGCTTGTTTTTCTCACGTTTGTCAAAGATCAGATAGTTGTAGATATGCGGCGTTCTTTCTGAGGGCTCTGTTCTGTTCCATTGATCTATATCTCTGTTTTGGTACCAGTACCATGCTGTTTTGGTTACTGTAGCCTTGTAGTACAGTTTGAAGTCAGGTAGTGTGATGCCTCCAGCTTTGTTCTTTTGGCTTAGGATTGACTTGGCGATGTGGGCTCTTTTTTGGTTCCATATGAACTTTAAAGTAGTTTTTTCCAATTCTGTGAAGAAAGTCATTGGTAGCTTGATGGGGATGGCATTGAATCTATAAATTACCTTGGGCAGTATGGCCATTTTCACGATATTGATTCTTCCTACCCATGAGCATGGAATGTTCTTCCATTTGTTTGTATCCTCTTTTATTTCGTTGAGCAGTGGTTTGTAGTTCTCCTTGAAGAGGTCCTTCACGTCCCTTGTAAGTTGGATTCCTAGGTATTTTATTCTCTTTGAAGCAATCGTGAATGGGAGTTCACTCATGAATTTTCACAACCTACTCATCTGACAAAGGGCTAATATCCAGAATCTACAATGAACTCAAACAAATTTACAAGAAAAAAACAAACAACCCCATCAAAAAGTGGGCGAAGGACATGAACAGACACTTTCAAAAGAAGACATTTATGCAGCCAAAAAACACATGAAAAAATGCTCACCATCACTGGCCATCAGAGAAATGCAAATCGAAACCACAATGAGATACCATCTCACACCAGTTAGAATGGCGATCATTAAAAAGTCAGGAAACAACAGGTGCTGGAGAGGATGTGGAGAAATAGGAACACTTTTACACTGTTGGTGGGACTGTAAACTAGTTCAACCATTGTGGAAGTCAGTGTGGCGATTCCTCAGGGATCTAGAACCAGAAATACTTTTTGACCCAGCCATCCCATTACTGGGTATATACCCAAAGGACTATAAATCATGCTGCTATAAAGACACATGCACACGTATGTTTATTGTGGCACTATTTACAATAGCAAAGACTTGGAACCAACCCAAATGTCCAACAATGATAGACTGGATTAAGAAAATGTGGCACATATACACCATGGAATACTATGCAGCCATAAAAAATGATGAGTTCATGTCCTTTGTAGGGACATGGATGAAATTGGAAATCATCATTCTCAGTAAACTATCGCAAGCACAAAAAATCAAACACCGCATATTCTCACTCATAGGTGGGAATTGAACAATGAGAACACTTGGACACAGGAAGGGGAACATCACACTCTGGGGACTGTTGTGGGGTAGGGGGAGGGGGGAGGGATAGCTTTAGGAGATATACCTAATGCTAAATGACGAGTTAATGGGTGCAGCACACCAGCATGGCACATGTGTACATGTGTAACTAAGCTGCACATTGTGCACATGTACCCTAAAACTTAAAGTATAATAATAATAAAGAAGCCACAAAGGAAAATCATGATTCCATTCATATAAAGTTCAAAAACAGCAAAACTAAAGTGTATTTTGTTATACATATAATAAAGTTATTTTTAAAAGTAAGATTAAGGATAGTGGAAGTAAAGTGGGAAAGAAAAGGTTGAAATTAGAAATAAGTTCGTTACAGGCTTCTGGAGTACCCACAATGTTATAGCTGTTGACTTAGTGGTTCTACAGGTGTTCACTTCTTAATTATTCTAAAACAGCGTGCATCTTTGTGTGATAATTATATTTACATATATAGTGTTTCATATTTTAAGCTAAAACACAGAAAAGTAAGTCCTATGCACAGTTGAATAATAAAAATTTCAGATTGTTGATTACATTGATATATATCCTTAAAAACTTAGTCTTAAGATTGATTGAAGAAATGCAATTAAAGCAACAAGGCATCACTCCACCTATCAAATGAACAAAAGCTTTTTAAAAAAATGCTAAACAATTCTGTTGAAGATAGGACGAGACAAGAATTCCATATATCTGCTAGTGTGAGCGTAAATCTATGCTTCCTTCCTTGTAAACAATCTTGCAGCATGAATAAAAAGCCTGTAAAAAAAAATCCATGCTTTGACTCAGTAACTGCACTTCTAGGAATCTACTGGACAGAAAAAAACCAAAGATTCAAAAAAGTCATGTTCAAATATATTTTCTGCAATATAACAGTATATTAGTTAAATTTTAAAAAATAAATTGAATGTGCATACTAACAGAATGGTTAAATAAACAATGGTCGTTGATACATCTAAATATTATACAGGTGAAAATTACATTTTAGAACTATTTTATGTGGAAAAATGTATATGATATATTAATATATTTGAAAGTCAGGATATATAACCCAGAAATATAAGTTTTCAATCAAAGAGATAGAGTGTCTTGTCCAATGTCGTAATACAATGAAAACAGAGAATGGAATTGAAACAAATATTATCAAAGAGAATAACTATAGCACAGGAGCGTTCAATCAATGAGTGCCCACCTGATCATGGTGTATTTTCTATGTATGATCATCAAAGTGGACAAATAAACATTCTTAAGAGCATTACCATTGAATTGCATAACTTAGTGGTCCATAATAATAATCAGTAGCCAACTATAGATTCTCACCCTGCATGTGTTCAGATAACCCTGACCATAAATGAGCCGATATTCACAATGCGTAAGTTGACAACCACTGTTTATGAGAAGATATCACTATTCCAAGAACACTACTATTTAGAATGAATACTAAATTTGCAATGGTAAATAAGTAGATATCCATAGTGAAGTAATGATGTTTTCACCAATAATATGAAGTCATTAAATCATGAAACATGTCATAATAGTGCTGGAGCACACAACTATAGGATGGTTATTATTCAGGCAGATACTGCATGTATTTTTAAAATTATGAAACAAATGGATTTGCTTCAGGATCAGATGCAACCATGCAAAAGATTATACTAATACATGCTCAAGCACACAGGGTACATGAACAGCTATCACTTAAGTTTGAAAAATTCATTATAATGGACACTCAAACAACTCTGCCACATTTGCTGCAAGGCATGCAACAGTAGACATTTGGAGATGAAAAAGGAAAAGAATGGTAATAGAAGAGCAGGCAAATGTGGTATATGAGCTAACCATCTAGGGCTTATAATACTTCATTCTTAGTACTATAGTAGACAATCATAGTTCAGGCATAGATACACATAGTAAATATGCACAACTCTACAACTTAAGACAGAAGGAGATGTCACTAATGATCTGCTTACTGAAGTATATGTGTTGCTTGACTTAAACACACACAAGGCATAGAAAGTAGTAGCTTTGGTCCAGAAGTAGAGGGTAATGGTATAAAAAAGAAAACCTCGGCATAGATCAAGAAGACCATAGCACATAAATATCCATCAACAGCGTTTTATAATTTGACCATGATACATAACAAACAACCTCAGATTATGAATTGAAACTTACGAAACAGGAGGAAGTAGCCATGATGCAGAAATAAATGGACATAGTACAGGTGCAATCACAAATACTGTGTTATGTGATACACAGAACATGAATTTTTAAAAATGGCTTTGGTCCAGGAGCTGAAGGAATTAATGCAAATGGAGATCCCACGGCACATTCCCAGACAACCATGCTGCGTGATGAAGCGGCACTACTAGAGGCTGAGGATTTGACCGTGATGCATAATCAGATGACAGCAGCTATATAAGAGGAGATAGCAATGATTCAAGAACACATCTATGCAGCCTAAGTGCAGACAGTAATTGATATATGAAGGAATGTAGCAGATGGCAATGATGCAAAAGGAGATCATGAATACCATATGATCACAATGTACCCTAAGACAACTGCAAAATGAGCTCTTGACTATGTTATGAGAAGATGATATAGAAGGAGACAACACTGATGGAGGGGAAGAATACCTCAGTGCCGGACCTAAAAACCATCATGCATCAGCTAATACATAGTCCAATACACAGAAGATGGCATTTTCGGTGCAGGATCAAACTATAATGGCTCATGCTTAGAAAATTGTGATTTTTTATATATGGTACATGGAAGGGAAGCATGGTAAATGATAAAAAAAAATATAGGAGCAGAGAGACATCGTTTAGAGCTTGTTCACATGGATAAGATTTGAGATTAAAAAAATACAACACAGGAACAAAGATTTGGGGGCAAAGTAAATGGCAATAGTAAAAAGTAAAACAACACAGTATATATTTAAATAGCAATGTGGTATGAACAAACATTCCTGGTGTTTGAACTTCTAATATACAATCAGTTTTCAACTTCTTTGCCTTTGGTTTGAATGTCCTCCCATAGCTCAGAGTAATTTGATCGTCTGAAGCCTTCTTCTCTCAGCTCGTCAAAGTCATCAATCAGATAACTATAAAGTGTATGCTGAGAGTAAGGACACAGAGCTAAAGGATGTGATACAGAAACTGACAGCAATGACAGGAAACCATAAAAAGGGAATTCAAATGAAATAAATTTGATATATAAACTTATTTCAATAACATGAATGATGGCTATCTCATTACAACAGTAGACACAATTATGCCTTATGCAGAAAACCATGGTATGTGAGCACATTAGATAACTATGGTGATGCACATACAAGTATGTTTGAGGAAAAATTAGAAATGGTAGGTCAAGAAAGCCATAGACTGGTACTTACCGAGAGGGGCATGGTACAATATTTTCAAAATAAGATGGCATGAAATAGTCCAGGAGCAGATGGCAATGGCCCTATAGATGACATCAAGGCAAATGGTTGTACAACATTTGTGCATTGTAAAGCCACCACCAGTGCTTAACCATTAGACTATAACACACACCAAGATAATCCCAGAACATAGGCTGCCAACCATGATAGAGAATGAAGAAAAAATTCTAGTATAATAACGATGATAACGATGATGAGGATATTATTAAAAATTATAATTATTTAGAACTTATTACATACCAAGCACTAAGCACTTTAAAAAAACAAGCATATGAGGTAGATGTTATTATTTTAGGGAAAAACAAAAAAAAGTGATTTGTATATAATGCAGTCTACCCTTATTATATATCAGTGGTGCTATGCTACCTCTAATGGATATGGTAAATTAAAAAACACATGCTTAACAGAGGAATTAATGGCTATATTGCTGATAGAGACAATAATTCCTGTTGCATAAATAAATATATAGTCCATTGCCAGACATTCTTGGTGTATGAGCAGTCACAATAGTCAGAACATTTGACCACAGGCACACTCAGATAATCCTGCAATATGAACTGACATTCAGGATGGCAGAAGCACAGGCAAACACGATACTGTCAAAATTAACAAACTGTTATTCATGATACAGATGATTCCATCCTTTTATCAGTTCAGGAGTAGACAATGACAACTGCATTTTTACACAACCATAGTGTATGAGCGAAAGTCTATAGTACAACCCCATACACAATATATGAGCAGAAATTCCTTACGCGTGCTCAGTCTACCATGGAGAATGAGCCAATACTTACACATAAAAGAAAACAGACATGACACAAAGAAAATAGCCACATAGTTGAAATTGTACAGATGATCACAATATATAATCGAAAAGCCACAATACGGGAAAGAATTCCTTGGTTTAGGAGGAGATGGCAATGGTAGGAGACACCATGACATGCGCTCCAATGATCACATGGAAGAAAAACTACCACTGGTGTTTGAGAATTTAACCACAATACACACCAATATACACTGAAAGGTGAGCTATCAATTATGATACAGGTACAGGTGGAAATAGAATAGTAGTCAACTACTGTGCTATTCTTTCTCAGAAAGACACGATGAATAATGAAATACAACACAGCAATGAATGACTTTGCCAAAGGAGTAAAGGGTATATGTGCAAAAGGAAAAACCAAGGTATAACATCAGACGACCATGCTGAATGGACAGCCACCACCAGTAATTTAGCATGTGACTAAGGTACACAACCAGACATTCTCAGAATGCAAGCTAAAAGTCATGATAAAGAATAAAGAGACATAATACAAATAATATAACAATATCAGCAAATACTTATCATTTATATGTGTCAGGCACTAATCTAAGCATTCTACATGTGCATCTTTGAATCCTCACAACTCTATGAGGTATTATTATTTATTTTACAGTTTAGAAAACAGAAACAGAAGGGTGAAATGACTTCCTCAAGAATTTCAAACTATTAAATAGGAGAACTGGGATTTAAGTCCAAGCAGTGAGCATTGTGCACATACACTGATGGTGCCATGCTTCCTCATATGGATGTGATACAAGATTAGAAACACAGAGCACAGGAACAAATGGCTTTGGTCCAGAAGCAGACGGCAATGTAGCAAAAGTAGACACCGTAGCACATGCTCAAACATCCGTGGTGCATGAGCAGCCACCACAGGAGTCTGAGCATTTGACCACGATGCACACTCAGGTTCTGCAACAGAAGCTGACATCCAATATATAGGAGTAGATACTGAGGACGAAGAAGGAGGCAAACACACTGTATGACAAAAAATCATGGTGCACAAAATTATATTCATGGTACAGAAAATTCCATTTTTAGTACAATGTAGACAACGATGGTGCATTTTCACAAATCATGATGAATGAGCAGAAGACCATAGCTAAAGGGCATAAGCACATTCATACAACCATGGAAAATTAGCCAGGGCTCACTTAGAGCCAAGAGACATCTTATGAGAAAATAATCATAAGTGGAGACCTCATAGATGGATATAGTACAAGATCAAAACATCTCAATACATGAATGATTATTTCAAATGTAGGTGGCAAAGGTGCATAGAGGACCCACCGTGTAACATGTTCAGACAAAAGTTGATGAAAGCCATTAGTGATATTTGACTGTTTGATCTTGACTTACACAGGTACACAAAAGTAGTTTACACTATTACGTAGCATTTATGCCAAAGGAGCTAAGAGGCATAGATAGATACAGCACACAAACTTGTTTTCGGAGAATAAAACCATGCTGTGGTGCTTACTTAGACAGATATTGTGCCTTATACAAGAGCCACGGTACAGGGGTAAACAGCTTTGTCCATGAGTAGATGTCAGATATGTCAAAAGAGACCTGACACCATATACTCAGATGACCATTGCATGAACAGCCACCACTAGTATTTGGGCATTTGACTATGATGGCTACCTACACAATCCCACGACATAAAGTAAAAGAATGATACAGGAGCAGGTAGACATGAAACCATGATTACCAAAACGGATATGGTTGGTGATTAAAAATCATTATTTTCTTTAGTCTGGGAGAAGATGGCAATGATTAAACGGGTGAAGTTATGATATATGCTGAAACAGCCATGTTGCATGAACAGCCATCACATCATAGGCATTTAAGCATTTGACTGATGTACAATTAGAAAGCCCAGTGACATGAGATAACATCTGTCTTTTTGGAACAGATAAACAATGTGCAGAAAAAGGCAGAAGTGATCTAAGAGTAGAGAGTCATAGAATATGAGTAAATACTAAACTCATATACACGATGCATAAAACACTATTTCCCTGTAAAGCAGTAGACAATGAAGGTTCCTGCTCAGAAACCATGGGGTATGAGCAGACAAGCATGCTGCATGCTCAGACAACCATGGTGCATGAGCAAAAACCTACAATATAAAAGCAGGTGGGTGTGATACAAGAGTGAATAACACAATGAGGAATATGCCCAGATGGACAGGACATATGAATAAAGGAAACATAACACATGAATACAACTTATTTAGGCAAACAGCATATGACAATGATGCTGGAGGAGATATCATGGCACATACTCAGGCAATCATGGTGCATGAGCAACTAACACTAATATTTGACTGTTAAACCACGATGTACACCCAGATATCCCAACAAAAATAAGCTGATGACCATAATATAGGAGCAGATGAACAAGGATATTGAAGAAGATGCTGATAATAAAATAGCAGAAAACGATAGTGCAGTAGCTAATAGAATACTACAGATGGCAACGATTCAAATGACTGCCATGGCATATACTTATATAATGATGCTTTAAACACTATCACAAGTATCAGCATTTGACCATAATGCACACTTAGAGAACTCCAGAATTTGAGCTGACAATTATTATACACGATCAAGGGACACAGTATCATTATCATCATTGTCATGTCATCATCATCATCATCATTGTTATCATCATCATCACTACCTGCCAGGCAGTATTAAAAATATTTTATGTATAATAGCTTATACAATCCTCACAATAACCTTACTACTTTTTTTGTCATTTTGCAGGAAACTGAAGCATGAAGATACGAATTGATGTGTCCATTTCATGAACTGATGTGTCCAAGATCTCATAGCTAGTAAGTGGATAATCCAGGATTCAAATTCAGTCATTTTGGCTCCACTATCCATTATTGTAAATATGACAATAAATGACAATATGCTGTGATTCTTCTGACAGACATGATACCAGATTTTAAAACAGAGCAGAAAAATGAGTGGCTTTGTTCCAGAAGCAGATGGCAATGTTGCAAAAGTAGACACCATAGCACATGCTCAAACATCCGTGGTGCATAAGCAGCCACCACAGGAGTCTGAGCATTTGACCACGATGCACACACAGAAGATCTGCAACATGAGCTGATACCAGGTTATAGGGAGTAGACAGATGACAAAGGACAGAGAAAACTCATCACAATAGTGAAAGACATGGTGTAGAAATTAATATACATAGTACAAAATACTCATTCCCAGTACAAGTAGACAATGATTGTGTATTTTCACACAAGTGTGGTGTTTAAGTTTAAATACGTAGTACAACTTCAATCACAGTATATGAGCACAAATTCATTATGTATGTTTATATTATCATGGAGAATAGGTCAATTCATACATGAAAAAGGGGATAGATATGGTATCCCAGGAAAGAATCACAGAGTAAAAACTGCTCAGGTGATACAAAAAATACGGGTATGTATGGCATTTTGTCAAAAAGAAGATCAAAATAATACAGGATGTTCAGATGAATAAGATGCCAAAAAGCATGTTTTAATATGTGTTCATGAGGTCCAGTCAGACACCTACAGGACATAGGCTATCAATTATGACACAGGTGCAGATGGACATGATATGGAAATAAAACATGGTGTGATTCTTACTTGGGTAGATATGGTATGTAATCAAAAATAACCATGCAAGCAATTAATGACTTTGGCCCAAGAGAAGATGACAGTGGTACAAAAAAAAGACTCACATGGACATAATGACTCATAAAAAAAATAACCATGGTGATTGACTCTACACATTTGTGTTTGGGCATGATATAAATCCAAACGATCCCATTACACAAACTAACAGCTATGATACAGTTAGTAAGCATGATACAGGAACAGACAGCAAATATGGAGAAAATACCCATTCTGCAGGAGCCAGTGACCACAATTCAGGAACTAATATTCATGTTATTAAAGTTATCATTCTCCACACAGAAGGAGATTATGTTTATTTTTTACACATTAATGATGGGTGAGCAATATCTATGATGTATACACAGAGAATCAATTAGTATACACATAAAATACACAAGCAGTTGGCTATCCTTCAGGAGTGGTATCCATTCAGACGCATGTCCCTATCCGATATCCACAATACTGAATCAAGTTTTCAGTTAAGGATAAGATGACAGTGGTGCAAAATGACACCTCATGCCATATGCTCAGATGGCTCTTTTGTTTGAGCATCTGATCATGGTGCACAACTTAACAACCATAAAATGTGAGGTAATGAATGATAATAGAGAAGACTATATCCCAAGACTATATCGCTGTAAATACGCAAAATACAGGAACAGTTGGATATAGTACAAGAGCAAAAAGCAATGTTGAAGTAGGAGCCCGACATGACTGATATATGAGCTAGTAACATGCTGCACAGTGTGATAACCATGACATAGAAGTTGGTCAATCACAGATCAATCTCAAACATCAGTGATATATGAACAGAGAACTAAGCTGTAGTGCTTCCTCGGATGAACACATGCCTAATTTAAAAGCTATAACATAAAAGCAAATGTCTCCAAATGTAAATGCTATTATGGGTTGAATTGTGTTCTACAAAAGAGGGGCACTGAAGTTATAACTCCCAGTACCTGTGGATGTGACTTTATTTGGTAATAGGGTCTTTGTAGATGTAATCAAGTTAAGATGCCTTTATAATGGATTAGGGTCAGCCCTAAATCCAATCACTGGTGTCTTTATAAGAAGGGGGAAATTTAGATATAACAGACAACGAGAGAAAACCATATGACAATGAAGTTAGAGATTGGAGTGATGCTGCCACAAGCCAAGAAACACTTGGGATTACCAGAAGCTGAAAAATGCAAGGATGACTCCTTTGCTAGGCTCGAGAGAGAGCACGGCTTTACTGACACTTTGATTTAGAACTTTTAGCCTCCAGAACTGTGAGAAAAACATTTCTGTTGTTTTAAGCCACCTAGTTTAAAGCACTTTGTTGTGGCATCCTTGGGAAACAAATACAGATGACATTGTTACAAAAGGACTCTGAGACATGTTTAAATGACTGCATGGTGTATAAATATCTCCCCCTGTAGTTTTACCACCTGAACAAAAATCACACTCAGAAAACCCCTAAATATTATCAGGAAGTCATGATGTATGAACTGACAGCCATAGTACAGTGTGCTCACAATCATCTATTATTAGAAGTAGAGAGTAGTAGAATCATCCAAATACCTTGTGACTATAGTCAACATTGTACATGAGGATACTACATTGATATGTTAAACAATGCAACATGCCAAGAAAATAATTCATGAGTTGGAAATCACAACACAATAGCCTTAAGCTCCGGGACAGGTGTATACCATCATGGTAAATGTTCAGATAAACTTTAAACAAGGTAAATTGCACCTAACACAGAAGTCACTGGCTCTGGCTTGATACATGGGCAAATATAACTAACATGCTTGAAAATCATGACATATGACATCATAAACATGGTTCACGTTCATGTGCATAAACTCTTCTTATATAGGAGCAGATACTTATAATTCAGGATCAGAAGGCCATGGTGCTTGCTTGGATACCTAAGCATGCAGAATCATATTACAGTGACAAAGGGCAATACTTCAGGGAAAGATAACCATAGAATCACGCAACATATCATGTTAACACAGCATTGGTGTGTGAGCCAAAGGCCATGGTGCAAGAGTAGGTTACCCTAAGTCTAAAGGCATACAATCTCTGCAGAAGCTGGTCCCAGGGAAATGCACTGAGGAGTGAAGGCATATTTGGCTTCTATAAGAGACGGCTTGTGAGAACCACACTCTTTACACCTTCTGTGGCTTCAGTGATCAAATAACTTATGGCCAAAACTTGGACACTTTGGAAAAAGCAAACTTTAATATGCCAAGATAATAGGTGTAAACCAGGACTATAGTAGACATATGGTCACCCTGCCTATGGTCATTTAAGATTTCTCTTCAACCTGATAACCAAACAAAAATCTTTTTCCTTTTTAGAATATCCTGCAAATGCTATTTCTAACAGAAGCAGAAGCCACAGGTGACAGGTTATGCTTCAGGTAGGAAATGTTCTTGATCACATCAAAACTCTAGATCTCGGGGAGTAAACAAACTCTACTTATTACTACCCTCTTAAAGTCCTCTTCACTCCAGACTATTTGTATTCCGAATAAACATTTAGTACTTCAGCCATTCAGCAATATTGAGAAAAAATCTTGAATGATCCATCTATGACTTTGCCTCGACCATTAACCTTTCTAAAATATACTTATTTTCCCCTATTTTATTTTTCTTTTCTTTCTAATTTTCTTACACGAAAGGAGAAATTTCTCCTGTTTATTATGTCTCTTCAACTTCTCTCAGAGCACCATTTCTCACATTTATGGATCGGGCACAATAACCACCTTATCGAGCTGTCGGGATTAAATAAGATACTGTCGAAGTATCTATCCCAAGGTGAAGCATGTAGTAGGTGCTTGGTGACAATGTCATCAACAGCACTATTACTCTGTCATCAAGTCCTTTGCTGCTGGGCTATCACAATTGACACCCTCTAAGGCTACCCTGACTGTTAGGAATGGCCCAGGGCCATTCTGCAGTCTTTATTTGGGTGACTTTAGTTATAATCTCTTCCCTCAGGATCAGACCATTAGCTTTTATGTCTACTTGTGGCCACAACTGCAACCTCCTTTCCTCTTGGTTTCAATTCTGCCTCAGCCTAAGGAAACAAAAAAGATTCCCAAGCATGCCTAAGTCCTGTTTAAATGGGTTAGGCTCTGAATAAGGTCAGATAGCTCAAGTGGCTTGGCTTTCATATTATATCTGCCAGCTGGAGTTTTTCCACCTTTTTTTTTTTTTTTTGGGCTCTACAGCCCTGTTCTGTTCCTAAGGGCCAGGCCCACAAGGGATACTTCAGAACCACCAATCTATTCCTCCAGATGACACAGCAGACCCTAAAGAGAATTGCTCTAACTTAAATAACTTCTAACCTCACCATTTTTCTGGCCCTTCCCAGCCTTTGGCTGTGGTTCTTATGAGAGGGAGGACAGTGTTGACCCATATGTCATTGGTTCTAAACTAGCTATGATCTCTTTGTTACTGCCACCCATCTAACAACCTGAGGCTCTTAGAAAACAGAATGAAGGGTATAGAAAAAAAACTATTAGGAAAGAGACATATTTTTCTCCTTTTATATAAAAAGTACAGAAGTTTTGAAACAATTCAGATTTAATTTGCTGATATATGTTTCTACTTAGACAAACATTAAATTCTATAACATACATAATGTCAACATAGGAAAATACCAAGTTTGTGATTGCACATACCAATAAATAAATACATTTGCTCAAGAATATTTTTAAAAAAAGCATACAACCATGTTGTGTGCTCAGAATACCATAGTACACAAGCAAACAAGCATGGAAGAGAATCAGGTGGTTACAGTTAAGGAACACAGAAAAGAAGCAATCATGGTGTGGGAATGTGTCTCCAAGATGTGTGTGGAGATAGTCATGATATATCAATATGCACTCAGCCTGCAAGGGGATAAAACATTTTACTTTCTCAGAAGAAGCAAAAAGAATTTGATTGATGGCTTGGGGAGAACTAATTTCTGGTCAGATAATCTAGTTCCCAAGAGGCAAGCTTCCTACTCTATCTAGTAAAGACTCACACAGATCAGGGCTGAGGAAAGAGACAATCTCAGTCCTAATTCTTGGAAGTATCTTAAGATAATAGAGGTGTGCCATCACAGCCACTCAGGCTAGGTGAGTATAATGCTCAAACAGACACAAGTTTAATCCATGTATTCATGTTCTCAGAAAATATTTTACAATTGTGCTAAATTCAGACAACACAGTATTCAACAAAATAAGGATTCTCAACTTTAAGGGGTTGATAGTTTACTGGAAAGAAATGCTAATTATTATGAAGTATGATTTGGGGAATAGAGGAAGATATCACTGGGAAGTTTCTGAGTAGGAACTGGTGAAGCTCAGATTTTAAAAAAAATAAAAAGAAGCGGAAGAATTTTCTATCACATATGAAGACCAAAGGGAGCCAAAGATCATACTAGGCTAGAAAATATGAAAGTAGTTCAGTACTTCTGAAGCAAAGAGAAATAAGAGGAGAGTGGATAGAAATAAAACCAGAGAGGTAAGCAGAAACAGTTCATGTGTGGTCTCACAAGCCACTTCAAAGAGTTTAGGTTTGATTTTTAGAGAAAAGAGAAACCACTGAAGAATGCTGTCACACTAGCAGATTTGCATATTAGAGAGAGCTTTCTGATTGCTAGATACAGATTGGATTTAAAAAGACTAAACTAGAATCAAGATTGGAAGTGAAATTGATGCTGGGACATTGAGTAAGAGGATCCAGTCAGACATAGCGAGGTGATTTTGCAATAGCTAGAAGGAAGACTGCAAAACTCTACAGGAATAGCTTTGAAGTTCTGAGCACCCCTAGAGCCCCAACCTAAGGGAACCCTAGTGACTTACCTATTTGGTAAAGACATCATCAGACAGACAAACACCACCTTCTGTAGTATGAATCAAGGCCTTTATGTTGAAGAGCTAAAATGGACAACATACAGTGGGGACCTCAACATTGCAAGTGAAAATATGAGGCAGAGAAACTGGGGAAAGGGGTTCTCTCTTTTTGAGCAAAGAGGATACACACACGTCACTCTGAAATATATAAAATATTTTCTCACGTTAATTTATGTTTTATTAATATTAGTTTTATTTACTCATTTAGGAACCTAGACATTAAATTTAAATACAAGTAGGCTGGGCACAGTGGCTCACTCCTATATTCCCAGTGCTTCGGGAGACTGAGGTAGGAGGATCACTTGAGGCCAGGAGTTTGAAACCAGCCTGGGCAACATAGAGTCTCTGCAAAAGATCCCATCTGTACATAAATAGATAAATAAATAAATAAATAAAATTAGCTGGGCATCGTGACACGTGCCTGTAGTCCCAGCTACTTGGAAGGCTGAGGCGGGAGGATCACTTGATCCCAGGAGTTGGAGGCTGCAGTGAGCTGTGATCTCGCCACTGCACTCCCGCCTGGGCAACACAGTAAGACCCTGTCTCAAAAATAAATAAAATAAAATAAAATAACATTAAATAGTGGCTCTCTTAGTGTGGTAGCAAGATTTTGGTCCCCATGATCTCTGTCCCCTAGTATTATCCCTATGAATATGTAAACATTACACAACCAAAGAGACTTTGCATATGGAATAGTTGATAATCAACTGACTTTAAAATAGATATAGTATCCTGGATTACCCAGGTGGGTCCAATATAATTACATGAGCCTTTAAAAGCAAAAGAGGAAGGGCAGAGTAAGAGATCAGAGAGATGGGGCAGAGGAAGAGGCAGGAGAGATTCAAAGTGTAAAATGTCCTCAATCCTCCATTGATGCTTTTGAAGATGAAGGGATCCCATGATCCAGGGAATGTAGGTGACCTCTAAGAGCTGATAAAGAAAACTCTGGCCAACAGCCAGCAAGGAAACAAGGACCTCAGTTTAACAACCACGTAAAACAGAAGTCTGTCAACAACCTGAGTGAGCTTGCAAGCATATTCATCACCAGAGCCTCCAGAAAAATAATGTAGCCCTTACAATATTTTGACTTCGTCTTTGTGAGACTCTTTAAGAAAAGGACCCAGGTCAGCCAACCAGACTTCTTATCTATAAAGCTGTGAGATATAAAACGTGTGTTTTTTTAAACTGTTACATTTGTAGTAGTTTGTTACATCAGCAATAGAAAGATAATACACTTAGGCTCTTTATCTCTAACAGGAGGATAATAGTTCTTTCTTTTGGAATGTGTGATGATTTAATGTGTGTATATATATATATATATATATACACACACACACACACAAACACATATACTCTACAAATTGATTAGAGTACACAGCATGCACTGAGTATCCAATAAGTGGCGGCAAGTGATGTTACATTAATATAATAAATTATATCTGTGCTCTTATGATGTATTTTGCCATTCATTATCAGATTTTATCCTTATCACAATCATGATAGGTAAGCAAGGTAAGAATTTTTCAACTTACATAACAGATAAAAATCTAAAACACAAAGAGGTTTTTACTTGCTCACAAACCAATTACTAATAAGTGTAAAAGAAGGGACTGAACTGAAAACCTCTGACTCTTGGTCAAATGATATTTCCATAGTTTACTTAAAATGTAAATATTTCTGGAAGAACTTTCTATGATGGCGAAAATTCAGTTATACTATTGGGAGTGGGAGGAATACTTTTTGCTCGAGTTGTTGTTTGATGCCTCCAATGTAGCACAGGGCTGGCCTAGGCTCTTGGAATGAATATTTGCAAGAAATGTAATTTCACAAAGGGTCTGCTTGGAGACCATTGTAGGAGAACAGCGACTATAGGATAGAGATTTGGATAAGGCCATGTAGAAACCAGCACTAAGGGATTTAGGAATCTGCTATAGCTCTCTGAAGAGCAAAAACCATGTAGTTCTTAAGTCCAGAGCATTCTGGTTTCAGCCAAAGCCATTAATCCTCTCTGCTTCCTCCTTCTTCAGCTCACCCACATACCCCTCCCAATAGCTTCACAGTTCAGCTTTATTTCAAAGTTCAAGAATCTCAGATATAAATGCAGCATGATATCTGAAGCTAGAAAGCAACCACAGGTAGAAGAAGCAAAGGCTACTTTCATATGTCCAAATGAAGAAACACAATAGTACAGGACCTCCGTAAGGAATACTGTTCATATCTGGATAAATGGTGAACTAAAGCAGAATCTCCTATTCCAGAAGCTGATGGAGGAAAACTTTTCTCTATTCTGCAGACTGTGCCAACGCCTTAAGCCAATGCTTATCCCTCCAGCCGTCACACACTGTCTACATGTCAAGGTGGGGAAGGACACTAGGAAATTCATGGAAATTAGCATACAGCGAAAACAAGATTGTCTGTGTGATGTAATCTCTTTTTGCTACACAGATAAATTTAAGGAATAGATTTTAAATTAGCCGTAAGTTTTGGAACATTTCACTTCCTCTACTGAGTCTCAATTTCCTCATTTATAAGATGAATTGGTCAAACTAGATGATGACTAAACTTCTAAGTCTAATAATCTATAATTCAGAGAAATGTCAACTGAGAATGAAGCAGGAGCATAAAAGCAGCACTGGGTCCCTATGCACCTTTCTTTCCCTATGTCTCAGTTTTACTTCGAATCAGAAACCTTCAGGATAATAAAGATATACAACAGATATGGAAGTAAAATATTATGATAAAAATGTTGAAATAATTAATTATATAAAAATATTGACTATATAGCATGTGACAGATACTGTACCAAGAATGGGGATACAAATATAAAACAGGAAAAATGTCTTCCTGGGGACAGACAAAAACATAACTAACATTTACCATAAAACATAATTAAATATCAAAGACAACACTTTATGCACTGTATTGTTGTCCACTTGAAGAAGAAGCCAACCATAATTTGAGAAGGCCAAAGAGAGTATAAAATTGAATAAAGGAGGTTACATTTTAGTGAAAACTTGGAAGCTATATTAACATAAGAAGAAATAGGATGGACATTTTATAAGAGTTAATACTTTATTTATGTGAAGTCTACAGAAAACTTTCTACTTAGTAGTGAAACATTAAAAGGAGTCCCTCTAAAGCTGGGAAGGAGATAAAACTGGCTGCTAACACTAACTTTATTCAATATAGTACTAAAATTTCTGGCCAATGAATTAAGCTAAGAAAAAAGAATGAATAAATATTAGAAAAAAGAGAAAAAGTGTTAGTTTGCAATGGAATAATAGTTTACTATAAGATGGACAAATAATAAATAAAAATACACTAGTCAATATCCTTTGCAAACATCAACAATAACCAACTAGAGAATGTAATGGAAGAAAAAAGCCATTCATATTAGCAAAAAAACTATAAAACTTAGAAATATATATAACAAAATATACACAAAATTTACTAGAAGAAAACTGTAAAACTTTATGAAGAATTTCTGCTTATGGCTATAATGGACAACTTTATATAACAGACCAACTCATCCACCAAGAAAATCTAGAATACTTCCATAAAATGTGTGTGTGCTTGTGTGTGTGCACACGTGTGTGTATGTGCACACGTGTGTGTGTGTGTGTGTGTGTGTTATTTCACCAGGGAGCCAACGCAAATAGGATTTGAAGGGCCAAGATTTTGGAGTTAAAGAAAACTTGCTGAGGTGAGCCTGATATACTATACTTCTTAACCCCTGTCAGAATTTGCTGACTGGTAAGTTACCAAGTAACTAACACAGCCAGAAAGGCTGAAAAGTCAAGCAGAAAGCAATGATTAAGAGACAGAGAAGTGGAACACAGTTTCCTACAGTATCACAGAGGTGGTGAAACAAAAATCAAAGTTCAGGGCTTTATATAACCCAGGTTTTGAAAAACCAAGATCCGGGAGAAAGCAGAAGAGCCAAGAAATGAGTCTGACAGTCTGAGCCACATTTTCCAAGGAGGCATTTACTGATTTCTAAATGGTTGTGTTGGAGAACTCAAGCAGAAAAAAAGATGTTAAAATGATTACAAGCTACTCATCAGCAGTATCATGGAGTTTGGGGCCCAGTAAGGTCAGTGTCCCTGGTAAACCCCCAAAATTTCAGCTGGAATGCTTAAGGGCTACACAAAGAGTAAGGATGGAAAAGAAAGATATGATCCTCTCTTTAAAAAAGATAACAGAGGACTTTGGGTTCCAGACAAGATGAAATACAATCATTTTCCCCATTCCTCTCAAGTTTTTACAATTAAAACTCTAGACAAACCACAGCAGAAAATTATAAAAAGTTGCATATAAGTGGAAAGGAAAAGGCAGACTGGCTAGGGACCTTGAAACTTAAGAAACAACATGGCAGGGAGTTCCCTGCATTTTCTTTTTACCTCCCCCATACCCCAAACTAGGAGTTAGAAAAGCTTGTAACAAAGAACCACCAACAGAGGCAGACAAAAAAAAAGTCCCAAATAAAAGTCTGCTCTCTCTAGCCAAAGGACCAAGAAAGGGACATCCCAGAAAGACAGAAAACTTATTGACAATACCTGCACTACCCTAGCCAAACACCACAAACAGTCCATCACCAGCAGTGAAAGAGGAGGCCAAGTGAGGGGCTCAAACTTTCAACTCCATCCAGCAGTACAGGTAGTCTGAGGTGATGATTCCCTCCTCTGTGGACAGAGCACTGGCAGAGGCTGAGTGAGGAGTCTAGACCCCAAACCCTTTCAACCAGGAGAAGCAGGAGAGCCAGGAAGTCATTTATTATTATTATTATTATTATTATTATTATTATTATTATTATTATTATTGGTTCTCAGTGTCTAAGGAAATTTCTGTCAAATCACTAGCTAAGTTAAGAAAACACAGACTTCAATGACCACAAAACACATAGAGTGCAGTCTTAAAAAATAGTTTAGAGGACGGAGGTGGAGCAAGATGGCTGATTACAACCCTCCACTGATCGTCCCCCTGCAAGGAACACTGAATTGAACAACTATCCACGCAAGAAAGCAACTTTATAGGAAAAAAATACTCATGTAAGAGATCAAATTATCTGGTTTCAATATTTAATATAATATCAAGGGAGGAGGCATTGAAGAGGATAAGAAAGACAGTCTTGCATTGCCTACACCACCCCTTCCCTCTCCCCTAACTGTGCCTTGTGGAGAGAGAGAATCTGTGTGCTTGGAGGAGGGAGAGCAAGGTGAGTATGGGTCTTTGCATTAGAACTCAGTGGCCCTGTCACAGTGGAACATAATACAAGGCAGAATTCTGCTGGTGCCACGGTGCATCTACACCAGCCCAAGGCCAGAGGGTACTTACGCACCCTTGCAAAAAAAAAAAAAAAAAAAAAATGCAAGTCCCAGTCAGCTCCACCATCAGCCAACAAAAGTGGCCTGGGGCCCCAAATAAACTTAAGTGACTGTCAGGGCACAAAGACTGCAGGCCTTGGGCAAGTCCTGGTGCTGTGCTGGTCTCAAAGGCAGTGGACGTGGACTGTGCATGACCCAGTGCAACAGCAGCTATGATGTATAGGGCCTGTGTCACACTTTCCCCAACTCCAGGCAGTGCATCTCAAGGAAGACAGTCCTTCCACTTGGGGGAAGGAGAGAGAAGAGTACAGAGGATTTTGTCCTGCGACGTGGATACCAGCTCAGCCACAGTAAAATAAACCACCAAGCAAATTCCTGAGGCGCCTAATTCCTGGCCCTAGCTCCTGGATGGCATTCCTTGACTCACCCTGGGCCAGTAGGGAATCGCAACCCTGAAAGGAAGGACCCAGTCCTGGCAGGATTCACCACCTACTGACTAAAAAGCTCTTGGGCCTTGAATAAACATTAGTGGTAGCTAGGCAATAGATTCCATGGCCCTTGGGCAAGATCCAGTACTGTGCTGGCTTCAGGTGTGACACAGCACAGTCCTAACCATGGAGGCCATGAGAGTGTTCACATGACCTCTCCCCTAACTCCAGATAGCCCATCATGGAGAGACAGGCTGCTTCTAATTAATGGAAAGAGAGGGAAAGTAACAGGCTTTGCGGGGTAATCTAGGGAATTCTCTCTTATCTTACTTAAGCCCACCAAGACAGTGCCTCTTGGGGTCTGCAAGAGTCACATCATTCCCGAGTTTAGTGTGCTCCCAAGTGCTGATACAGCTGCAATGACCCCAGGCTTAAATCACAAGATATATGAGAGAGAGGACCAACAAAACAACCAGAAAACAAACGACAAAATGGCAGTAAGAAGTTTGTACTATTAATAATAACCTTTAATGTAAATGGACTAAATTTTCCAATAAAAGATATGGAATGGCTGAATGGATTTAAGAAAACAAGACCCAAATCTATGCTGTCTGTAAGAAATTCACTTCGCCTGTAGAGACACACGTAGAATGAAAAGAAAAAAAGGATGGAAAAAGATATTCCATGCAAATGGAAACCCAAAACAGAAGGATTAGCTATCTTATATCAGATAAAATAGATTTCAAGACAAAAAAAAAACTATAAGAAGAGAAACGGAAGGTAATTATATGATAATAAAGGGGTCAGTTCAGCAAGAGGATATTACAATTTTAAATATCTATGCACCTAACACTGGAATATATATATATATATATATATATTTTTATATGGCAAATGTTATTAGAGCTAAAGAGCAAGATAGACTCTAATACAATAATAGCTGGGGACAACTACTTCCCACTTTCAGCAATGAACAGATCGTCCAGACAGAAAATCAAGAAAGAAACCTCCAAGGTAATCAGCACAATAGACCAACTGGACATAATAGACATTTGCAAAATATTTTATCCAACAGCTGGAGAATACACATTCTTCTACTAAGCACATGGAACATTCTCAAGGATAGACCATATGTTAGGCCACAAAGCAAGTCTCAAAAAATAAAAAAATTACATAAGCTATCTTTTTCTTCCATTCACATGGAATATAACTAGAAATTAATAACAAGAGGAATTTTGGAAGTATACAAACACATGAAAATTAAATATGTTCCTGAATGACCATTGGGCCAATAAACAAGTAAAAAGATTTTTAAAAAATTCTTGAAACAAATGAAAATGAACACACAACATATCAAAGCCTATGGGGCAATACAAAGAAGGAAGTTTTTAGCATAAACACCTAGATTGAAAAGGTAGAAAAGCTACAAATAAATAACCTAAGGCTTCATCTTAAAAACTAGAAAAGGAAGAGCAAAACAAACTCAAAGTTAGTAGAAGAAAGGAAATAATAAAGAGCAGAGCAGAAATAAATGATATTGACACTAAAAAAATACAAAAGATCACCAAAATGAAAACTTGTTTTTAAAAAAATAAACAAAATCAACAAATATTTAGCCCAACTAACTTACAAAAAAAGGAAAAATTTCAAATGAATAAAATCAGAGATGAAAAAGGAGACATTACAAATAATATCACAGAAACTAAAAGGATTATTAGAGATTATTATGTGCAACTATATGCCAATAAATTGGAAAACCTAGAAGAAATTGATAAATTCCTAGACATATACAACCTACAAAGATTGAACCATGAAGAAATCCAAAAGCTGAAGAGATCAATAAAAAGTAATGAGATAGAAGAAGTAATAAAATGTCTTCCATCAAAGAAAAGCTCAGGACCTGATGGCTTCACTGCCGAATTCTATCAAACATTTAAAGAAGAACTAACATCAATTCTACTGAAACTGTCCCCAAAAAATGCAGAGGGAATACTTCCAAACTCATTCTATGAGGCCAGTATTACACCAATACCAAAACCAGAGGAAGACACAACAACAGCAACAAATTGCAGGCCAGCATCACTAATGAACATAGACGCTAAAATCCTCAACAAAATACTAGTAAGCTGAATTAAACAACACATTAAAAAGATCACTCATCATGACCAAGAGATGAGTCAGGAATAAAAGGATGTTTCAACATATGCAAACCAATCAGTGTGATACATTATTATCAATAGAATGAAGGACAAAAACCATATGATCATTTCAAATGATGTCAAAAAAAAGAGCATCCAATAAAATTCAACATCCCTTCATGACAAAAACTCTCAAAATCCGGGTACAGAAAGAACATATCTCAACATGATAAAAGCCATATATGACAAACCCACACTAGTATCATACTGAGCAGGGAAAAATGGAAAGTCTTTCCTCTAACATCTGGAACTAAAGAAGAATGCTCACTTTTGCCACTTTTATTCAACATAGTACTGGAAGTCCTAGCCAGAGCAATTAGACAAGATAAAGAAATAAGGGGCATACAAACTGGAAAAGAAGAAGTCAAATTATCCTTTTTTGCAGATATAATCTTATATTGTTAAAAACCAAAAGATTCTACCAAAAAAAACCATTATAACTGATTTTTAAAAACTCAGTAAAGTTGCCGGATACTAAATCATCATGCAAAAATTAGTAGCATGTTTATATGTCAGCAGTGAACAATCTGAAAAAGAAACAAAGAAAGTATTCCCATTTACAATAGCTACAAATAAAATAAAATATCTAGAAATAAACAAAAAATGAAAGATATCTACAATGAAAACTGCAAAATGTTGATGTAAGAAATTGTCAGACAAGAAAATGGAAAGATAGTTCACGGATTTTAGAAGAATCAATACTGTTAAAATGTCCATTCTATGCAAAGCAATCCACAGATTCAATGTAGTCCCTATCAAAATGCCAAAGATATTCTTCACAGAAATAGAGAAAATAGTCCTAAATGTATATGGAACCACAACCACCAAGGACCAGGAGAAGTCAAAGTCATCCTGAGGAAAAAAAAAAAAAAAACCTGGAGAAATCGTATTACCTGACTTTAAATTATACTACAAAGGTATAGTAACTAAAGTAGCATGGCCCTGGGATAAAAACAGACATATAGACCAATGGAATAGAATAGATAAATCAGATATAAATCCATGCATTTGTGACCAATTCATTTTTGACAAAGATGACAAGAACATACACTGGGACAAGGACACCCCTTCAATATATGTTGCTGAGAAAACTGGATATCCAATATGCAGAAGAATGAAATTCAACCCCTGCTTCTCACCATACATAAAAATAAAATTGGCCAGGCATGGTGGCTCATGCCTGTAATTCAAGTGCTTTGGGAAGCTGAGGCAGGAAGATCGCTTGAGGCCTGGAGTTTGAGACCAGCCTGGGTAACATAGTGAGACCCAATCTCTACAAAAAATAATTTTTAAAAAATTATCCAGGCATGGTGGTACATGCCTGTAGTTTCTGCTATTCAGGAGGTTCACTCTTGTCTAGGAGTTTGAGGTTATAGTGAGCTATGATTGCACCACTGCACTCCAGCCAGGGTGACAGAGTGATACCCTGTCTCTAAAGAAAGAAATCAATCAATCAAATCAAAATGGGTTAAAAACTTAAATCTAAGATATGAAACTATAAAACTATTGAAAGAAAACATTAGGGAAACACTCCAGGACATTGGTCTGTGCAAAGATTTATTGACTAAGACCTCAAAAGCACAGGCAAACAAAGCAAAAATGGACAAATGGAGTCACATAAAGCCAAAAGTCTACATAGCAAAGAAAACAGTCAACAAAGAGGCCACTTGTAGAATAGAAGAAAATATCTGCAAACTACCCATGTGAAAAGAGATTAATAACCAGAATATACAAGGAGCCCAAACAACTCAATACCAAAAAAAATCTGATTTATAAATGAACAAAAGATAGGCAATAATGAATGCTGGCAAAGATGTGGAGAAAAGGCAACCCCCATACACTGTTGGTGGAAAGGTAAATTAGTACAGCCACTATGGAGAACAGTACAAAGATTCCTCAAAAAAATAAAAAGAGAACTATCGTATGACCTAGCAATCCCACTGTTCATTATATACCCAAAAGAAAGGAAATCAATCTAACAAAGAGATATCTGCACTGTTATGTTTATTGCAGCTGTATTAACAATAGGCAAAATAGAGAATCAACCTAAAGTCCATCAATGAATAAATGGGTAAAGGAAATGTGGGACATATATACAATGAAATATTATTTGTCATAAAAAAGAATGAAATCCTGCCATTTGCAAAAACATGGATGGAACTGCAGGACATTATTCATTATGTTAAGTGAACTAAGCCAGGCATGAAAAGAAAAACTTTGCATGTTCTCACTCATTTGTGAGAACTAAAAATTAAAACAATTCAACTCACCAACATAAAGAGTAGAATGAGGGTTATCAGACGCAGGGAAGGGTTGTGGGGGGAAGGATAAAGAGGTAATGGTTATTGAGCACAAATATACAGTTAGAAGGAACAAGAGGTAGTATTTGATAGTAGAACAGAGTGAATATAGTTAACAATAATTTATCGTGTATTTTTAAATAAAAAAAAGTGAAATTGGAATGTTCCTAACACAAGGAAATGAAAAATGCTTGAGGTGATGGGTACCCCAATTATGCCATTTGATCAATAGACATTGTATGCCTGCATCAAGACATCACATGTACCCCATAAATATGTATAACTATCATGTATCCATAATAATTAATAACAAATTTTATATTTAAAAAACAAAAACATCACATATACTCTATCAACATATAGAACTATTATGTACCCATAATTATTTCAAATAAAAATTTTAATTATTAAAAAATTAAATAAATTGTTTATAAAAAATCATTAAACAAACAAACTCACAAAAAAGCAATAGTAACCAATCCTGGGGAAGTGGGAAAATTTAATCTCCACAGTGAACACAGTATAATATTCAAAATGAATATTATTCCAAAAACATTTCCCCAAAGAAGATATACAAATCACACAAAAATACAAGAAAATATGTGTCATTCACAACAAAAAAGAAAATTAATAGAAACTGTCCCTGGACAAAATTAAGACATTGGACTCACTAGGAAGAGACTTCAAATAAACTGTTTTAAAAATGTTCAAAGAGCTAAAGAAAACCATGAGCAAAGACTAGAGGAAACCAGGCGAAAAATGTCTCACCAAACAGAAATTATCAATAAGAAATAGAAATTATAAAAAGGAACGAAGGATGCATGTGGTGACTCATGTCTGTAATCCCAGCACTTGGGGAGGCCAAGGTGGGAAGATCGCTTGCAACCAGGAGTTCAAGACCAGCCTGGGTAACATAGTGAGACACTGTATCTACAAAATTAAAAAATAAGAAATCAGGTGGGCATGGTGGTATGTGCCCGTAGTCCCAGCTACTTGGGAGGCTGAGGTGGGAGGATCACTTGAGCCTAGCAGATGGAGGCTGCAGTGAGCCATGATCGTGCCACTGAACTCAAGCCTGGGTGACAGAGTGAGACCCTGTCTCAAAAATGAACAACAACCAAAATAAATAAGTAATAAAAAAAGAACCAAATAAAAATTCTGAAGTTAAAAAGTATAACTGGAATGAAAATTTTACTATGAAGATTCAACAGTATATTTGAGCAGCGGAAAAAAAGAATCAATTGGGATTACTTTCTGTAGAGAAAAAAGAAAAAAATAATGAAGAAAAATGTTGGGGCAACTGGATATCCATATGCAAAAGGAGCTGGATCTGTTTCACTTATCATATGCAAAATTTAACTCAAACTCGTTCAAACATCTACCTCTAAGAGCTAACACTATAAAATTATTAGATGAAAAATAGAGGTTGGTCTTCATGAACATGAATTAGGAAATGATTTCTTAGATACAACACCAAAAGCACAAGGAACAAAATAAAAGATAGATAAATTGGATTCCATCAAAAACAAAAACTTCTATGCATCAAATGATGCAATCAAGGGAGTGAAAAGACATCCACAAGTGAGAGAAAATATTTGTTCATCATCTATCTGCAGTGGGTCTAGTACCCTCAATATATAAAGAACTCTTACAACTCAGTAACAAAAAGTTAATTACCTAATTAAAAGATGGGCTACAAGTAATTTCCAGTATGTAAATTATATCTCGATAAAGCTGTTTTTTAAAAAAAGAATCACATAAAGGTTACCAGCTTCTTACCAAATTTTTTTCAGTGGGCTAAGGAATGAATAAACATTTCTCCAAAAAAAGATACAGAAATGACCAACAAGCACACGAAAAAATGTTCAACATCATTTAGCCAACATGAAATGCAAATAAAAATTGTAACATACCACTTCACATCCACTAAGATGGTGACATTAAAAAAAGATAAAAGCAAGTGTTCATAAAGATATGGAAAGATTAGAACCCTTATATATTGCTGATGAGAATGCAAATTGGCTCAGCTACTGTTTAAAAACAGTTTGGTGAGTCCTCAGTAAGTTAAACACAGAATTCACTTATGACTCAGCAATTCCACTCCTGGGTATATACCCAAAAAAGTTCAAAACACATGTTCAAATGAAAAATTGTACATGAATGTCATAGCAGTACACTTCACAATAGACAAAAGATGGAAACCACACAAATATCTGTCAACGGATGAGTGGATAAACAAATGTGACATACACATTGTGAGTATGTGGCAACTATATAATGTGGCAACTATAAAATGGAATATTATTTTTCCATAAAAAGAAATGAAGTACTAATACATTCTATAATATGGATGAACCTAGAAGACATTATGTTAAGTGAAAGAAAATGGACATAAAAGACCACATATTGTATGATTCCATATATACAAAATATCCAGAATAGGTAAATCCATAGAGACAAAATGAAGATTAGCGTTCATGAGGGGTTTGAGAAAGAGGGGAATGGGGAGTAACTGCCTAATAGGTATGAGGTTTACTTTTGGGATGACAAAGTGTTCTGGAATCAGATAGTGGTGATGGTTGCACAACAATGTGAATGTATTAAATGTCACTGAAACGTACACTTTAAAATGGTTTAAAAAAGAATAATAATAAAACCTAAGAGACATGTGGAACATTTGCATAATGGGCGTTTCAGAGGAGGAGGAGAGAGAAAAGAGCAGAAAGAACATTTGAAGAACTAATGGCTGAAAATTTCCCAAATTTTAAGAAAGACACGACTCTATGAAACCAAGAAGTGCAACGAACTTCAAGTTTAATAAATTCAAATACATCCAGGCCAAGACACTTTATGATTACATTTTTGAAAGACAAAAACAAAAAATTTTGAAAGCAGCATGAGAGAAGCAACTTATCACATGCAAATGATCCTCAATAAGATTATCAGCTGAATTCTCACCAAAAACCTTAAAGAATGAAATCCCAGACCAGATGGCTTCACTAGAGAATTTACCATATATTAAAAAAAAAATAACTCCAATTCAACAAAATCTCTTTTCAAAAGGTGAATAGGAAAGAACAGTAATAAACGGATTTTATGAGGCCAGTATTGTCCTGGTTCCAAAAACCAAACAAGGGCAGTACAGAAAAAAAGGAATATTATAGGCAAATATCCTTCATGAATATAAACACAAAAATCCTCAAGAAAACATTAGCAAATTGAGTCCATCAAATATAAAACTAATTATACATCTTAATTAAGTAAGATTTATTCCAGTTATGCAAGGTCGGTTGAACATTTGACAATCAATTTAACCCACCATAACAACATGCCAAAGAGGCAAAACTATATAATGCAGAAATATCATTTCACAAAATCCAGTACCTATACATGATTTATAAAAACAACTTGCAGCAAACTAGGCATGGAAGAAAACTTGCTCAACTTTATAAAGAACGCCTGAAAAAAACGTTGAGCTGCATCATAGTTCATGGTGAAATGTTTCCTCCTAAAATCAAGGCGAAGGTGTCCGTTCTTACCACTTTTATTTAACACAATATTAGAAATCCTAACCAATACAATAAAGAAAAAAAAGGAAACAAAAAGCCTACAGAATGGAAGGAAAGACTTTAAACTGTCTCTGTTTGCAGATAACAATTCATTATGTAGAAAATCCCGAGGAATAAAAAAAAAATCTCCTACCAATAATGAGTTTGTCAAAGTCACAGGACACAAGATCAATATGCGAAAAAAAAATTTATTTCTATATACTAGCAACAGACTTACAAAGCAAAATAAAAAAAGCTATTCTCATTTAAATATTAAATGGTAAAAGCACTCTGGAAAATTGTTTGGCAGATTCTTAAAAACCACACATGCACCTACCATAAGACGTATCAATGTCATTCTTGGACATTCATCCCAAAGAAATGGAATTTTATGTACATACAAAAACCTGTACATGGATGTTCACACCACCTTTATTTTTAATAGGATCAAGCTGGACACAACGCAAAAATATTTTTACAGGTAAATAAACAGATTCTAGTACATTCATACTACAGAATACTACTTAGTAATGAAAAGGTACCAATTACTGGTATCAAGTACTGCTGCATGTATTGAAGTAACCTGAATGGAACTCAAGATCATCATGCTTAGTCAAAGTGTCATTCTTTCACCAAAGAAAATATACATATGATAAACAAGCATACGATAAGATTCTCGGCATCACATATCATTAGGGAATCGCAGATTAAAACAACAATGAAATACCACTTTCATCTATTACAGTGGCTAAATTCCAAAACATTGACAATACCAAATGCTGATGAGGATGTGGAACAACAGGAATTCTCGTACATTGCTGCTGGTAATGCAAAATGATACAACCAGTTTGGAAGACAGTCTGGCAGTTATTTACAAAACTAAACATACTTTTACCATATGATCCAGCAATAACACTCCTTGGTATTTATCCAAATGATTTGAAAGTTTATTTACAAGCAAAAGCCTACACAAAAATGTTTATAGCAGCTTTGCTCATAATTGCCAAAACTTGGAAGCAACCAAGATGACCTGTGACACATACAAACAATGCAATATTATTATTCACCACTAAAAAAAATGAGCTATCGAACCACCAAAAAAAAAAAAAAAACCATGGAGGAACCTTAAATGTATATTGCTAAGTGAAAGAAGCCAATCAGAAAAGGCTACAGACTGTATAGTGCTAATTATGACATTTTGGAAAATACTACATAAAGACTAAAAAGATTAGTGGTTGCCAAGGGCTTGGAGGAAAAGAGGGAGAGTTAAGTAGGTGGGCCACTGGGGATTGTTAGGGCAATGAAACTATTCTGTATTGGTGGATACAATGCATTATACATTTGTCAAAACCCACAGAACTGTGCAACACAGAGTGAACTCTAATGCAAACTATATACTTTAGTTAATAAAAATGTATCTAATATTCACTCATTCATAGTAACAACTGTACCACATCATGCAAGATGTTAATAATAGGGGAAACTCAGAGGGAGAGGAAGAAAAGAATATATAGGAACTCTGTACTTTCTCCTCAATTTTTCTGTAAACCTAAAACTACTCTAAAATATAAACCCTATTAATTTTCTAAAAGCCAATTTTAAAAAAGTTACACAGTATATAATTACAATTATGTAATATTATCAAACTGACACAACCATAGAGATGGAGAACAGATTCATGGTTTCATGGAAAGAGACAGGGACGGATACTACTATAAAGGAGTAACATGAGGGGTTTTATATTTATGGTGATTGAACAGTTCTTTATCTTGATTGTGATGGGGATTACATAAATCTATACATGGGATTATATTGCATAGAACTATAGACATAGAGACACACAAAAAAGAGCACACATCAAACCATTCCTTTATTGTTGCAATATAATAATATTAATGAAGTCTATGGCATAGTTAACATTGTACTACCGTCATTATCAGAATTCCCATTGGGTGACTCTAAGTAAAAAGTTTATAGGTCTCTATGTACTTCCCATGAGTTTATTATTTGCGACTTCCCATGAGTTTATTATTTCAAAATAAAAAACATTTTAAAGGTAACATTAACTAGGGCTTTCTCTATTTCACTTAAAATGCCCAGCATTCAAACAGCAATTACCAATAATAAGATAAGACTCAGAAAGGAAAAGAAAATACTAGAAAAAGTCTCAGATGCAATCTATGTACTGTAATAATTGCATGGCCAATTAAATAATGATGATTCATTTTTTAAAAAAATAGACATAATGGAAATTTTCATACAATACTTAGGCAGGAGAAGGAAATAAAGGGTATTCAATTAGGAAAAGAGGAAGTCAAATTGTCCCTGTTTGCAGATGACATGATTGTATATCTAGAAAACCCCATTGTCTCAGCCCAAAATCTCCTTAAGCTGATAAGCAACTTCAGCAAAGTCTCAGGATACAAAATCAATGTACAAAAATCACAAGCATTCTTATACACCAGCAACAGACAAACAGAGAGCCAAATCATGAGTGAACTCCCATTCACAATTGCTTCAAAGAGAATAAAATACCTAGGAATCCAACTTACAAGGGATGTGAAGGACCTCTTCAAGGAGAACTACAAACCACTGCTCAAGGAAATAAAAGAGGATACAAACAAATGGAAGAACATTCCATGCTCATGGGTAGGAAGAATCAATATCGTGAAAATGGCCATACTGCCCAAGGTAATTTACAGATTCAATGCCATCCCTATCAAGCTACCAATGCCTTTCTTCACATAATTGGAAAAAACTACTTTAAAGTTCATATGGAACCAAAAAAGAGCCCGCATCGCCAAGTCAATCCTAAGCCAAAAGAACAAAGCTGGAGGCATCACACTACCTGACTTCAAACTATACTACAAGGCTACACAGTAACCAAAACAGCATGGTACTGGTACCAAAACAGAGATATAGATCAATGGAACAGAACAGAGCCCTCAGAAATAACACCACATATCTACAACTATCTGATCTTTGACAAACCTGAGAAAAACAAGAAATGGGGAAAGGATTCCCTGTTTAATAAATGGTGCTGGGAAAACTGGCTAGCCATATGTAGAAAGCTGAAACTGGATCCCTTCCTTACACCTTATACAAAAATCAATTCAAGATGGATTAAAGACTTAAACGTTAGACCTAAAACCATAAAAACCCTAGAAGAAAACCTAGGCTTTACCATTCAGGACATAGGCATGGGCAAGGACTTCATGTCTAAAACACCAAAAGCAATGGCAACAAAAGACAAAATTGACAAATGGGATCTAATTAAACTAAAGAGCTTCTGCACAGCAAAAGAAACTACCATCAGAGTGAACAGGCAACCTACAAAATGGGAGAAAATTTTCGCAACCTACTCATCTGACAAAGGGCTAATGTCCAGAATCTACAATGAACTCAAACAAATTTACAAGAAAACAACAAACAACTCCATCAAAAAGTGGGCGAAGGACATGAACAGACACTTCTCAAAAGAAGATTTTATGCAGCCAAAAAACACATGAAAAAATGCTCAACATCACTGGCCATCAGAGAAATGCAAATCAAAACCACAATGAGATACCACCTCACACCAGTTAGAATGGTGATCATTAAAAAGTCAGGAAACAACTGGTGCTGGAGAGGATGTGGAGAAATAGGAACACTTTTACACTGTTGGTGGGACTGTAAATTAGTTCAACCACTGTGGAAGTCAGTGTGGCGATTCCTCAGGGATCTAGAACTGGAAATACCATTTGACCCAGCCATCCCATTACTGGGTATATACCCAAAGGACTATAAATCATGCTGCTATAAAGACACATGCACACGTATGTTTATTGCGGCATTATTCACAATAGCAAAGACTTGGAACCAACCCAAATGTCCAACAATGATAGACTGGATTAAGAAAATGTGGCACATATACACCATGGAATACTATGCAGCCATAAAAAATGATGAGTTCATGTCCTTTGTAGGGACATGGATGAAGTTGGAAATCATCATTCTCAGTAAACTATCACAAGAACAAAAAACCAAACACCGCATATTCTCACTCATAGGTGGGAATTGAACAATGAGATCACATGGACACAGGAAGGGGAATATCACACTCCAGGGACTGTTGTGGGGTGGGGGGAGGGGGGAGGGATAGCACTGGGAGATATACCTAATGCTAGATGACGAGTTAGTGGGTGCAGTGCACCAGCATGGCACATGTATACATATGTAACTAACCTGCACAATGTGCACATGTACCCTAAAACTTAATGTATAATAAAAAAAAGAAGAAAAAAAAGAAAAAAAATGAAAAAATAGATATTATAGAATTAAATATGTCATAACTGGATTTCAGGATGTAATAACTGTAACTAATAGTACCGGCCATCAGATACCAGTAAAGATACATATGATTGCAACAAAATAATTAACAAACTTAACCTAAATGACATACTTAAAACATAACACCCAAAAGTGCAAGAATTGCATTTTTTGAAATACATATTTAACCTAAACAAAATTTACTGTTGAATGGGCCATGAAGCAGACCACACCAATTTCAAATGATTGGAGTCAAAATATATTCTCTGACCACAATTTAATTAAGTTAGAAAAAATTAATAACAAATAGAAAATCATCTCAATTTGGAAATTAAGCAAATTAATTCTAAATAAACCATGGTGCAAAGAAGAAATCCAAATTAAACCAGAAAACATCTTGTACTACCTGAAAATGAAAATATAGCAAATCAAAATTTCTGGGATACAACAGAGCCATTATCAGAGAGAAATTTATAGGCTTAGATACATGTATTTGAAAAGACGGAAGTATATAAATCTGTGATCTAATTATACATCTAAAATAGTAGAATAAAAGCAAGTTAAAACCGAAGAAAGTAGAAAGAACAAAATAACAAATATAAAATCAAAAATCAATGAAATAAAAAATCTGTAATAAAGAGGCCCAGCAAATACAAAAGTTGGTTGATTCCTCAGGGATCTAGAGCTAGAAATACCATTTGACCCAGCCATCCCATTACTGGGTATATACCCAAAGGATTATAAATCATGATGCTATAAAGGTGCATGCACACGTATGTTTATTGCGGCACTATTCACAATAGCAAAGACTTAGAACCAACCCAAATGTCCATCAATGATAGACTGGATTAAGAAAATGTGGCACATATACACCATGGAATACTATGCAGCCATAAAAAAGGATGAGCTCATGTCCTCTGTAGGCACATGGATGAAGCTGGAAACCATCATTCTCAGCAAACTACCGCAAGGACAAAAAACCAAACACCGCATGCTCTCACTCATAGGTGGGAATTGAACAATGAGAACACATGGACACAGGAAGGGGAACATCACACACCGGGGTCTGTTGTGGGGTGGGGGGTGCGGGGAGGGATAGCATTTGGAGATATACCTAATGTTAAATGACGAGTTACTGGGTTCTGCACACCAACATGGCACATGTACACATATGTAACAAACCTGCACGTTGTGCACATGTACCCTAAAACTTAAAGTATAATACAAAATAAAATAAAAAATAAATGTAACACACAAAAAAAGAAGAAAAAAGAAAATTAAAAGCCACCAGCAAGCCTGATGAATAACAAATGAAAAAATGAAAATAACCAAACAACTACTGTTAGGAATGGAAAGGAGGGCATCATTACAGATCCAATAGACACTAAAGAGAAAAGAGGTATCATATTTTTAAAATGGACTTTATGCCAAAAAACATGAAAATTTAGAAAAACGTATTTCTTTGAAAACATAACTTAAAACTGACAAAAGAAGGTAATAAAAACATCCCAATACTCCTATAACTCTTAAAGAAATTGAATCTATCACTAAAGACTTTCCCCCAAAGAAAACTTGAGTCCCAGATGGCATTACCAGTGAATTCCTCTCAACATTTAAAGAATAAATAGCATCAGTCTTACATAATATCTTCCAGAATGTAAAGAAAAAAAAATAGTTTTTCATCCCAATTCATTTTTCAAGCTAACATAACCTTAATCCCAAAACCTCACACAAACTTGACAGAAAAAAGAAAACTGACGGCCAATCTCACTTATAAATGTGGGTGCAAAAATTTTAAAACTCACACATATACACACACATGCATACACATAGTTCCCATCCTGTGTTGCAAAATAACACGAAGAGTAGGATTTATATAAAGAATAAAAGGCTGGTTTAACACTTGAAAATCAGTCAATGCAGTTCATCATATTAACAGAATAAAGGAGAAAAATATATGATCAACTCAATAGATGTAGAAAAAAAATCTGATAAAATTCAATACCCATTAATGATTTTTTAAAAAGTCTTTGCAAACTAAAAATGGAAACTTCTTAATCTGATAAAGGGTATTTTAAAAACTCTATAGTGAAAATCATACTTAATGGTGAAATAATGAGAAATTTCCCCCAAGGTCAGGAATGAAATAGAAGATGCCTATGATCTCTGCTTACGTTCAGCATTGTACTAGAGGTCTTAGGCAATACAATAAGGCAGGAAAAATATGAAATTTGTAAAAACTTAAAATCAAGAAATGAAAATTAAATTATTTGAAAAATTAATGAAACTACAGATAAATTAGTAGCATTAATAAATGGATTCATCAGTAACTCTGAGCACAAGATCAATATTCTAAAATTGATTATATTTTAAATACCACAAAAAAATTTAGAAAGTGATTTTTTTTACAAAGATACATTTAAAATAGCATCAAATAACACTAAAAAATAAAAACATAATAAATGGACAGATATATCATGTTCCCAAATTAGAACACTACAATTTGTAAAAATAATAATTATCCCAAAATTGACCATAGATTTTGTGCAATTGCAAAACAAATTCCAAGAGGTCCTTTACTGTCTGGGAATTGGCAATCCGATTCTAAAATTTAGAACGAAAAGGACAAAAGAGGGATTATACTACCAGATTAATTAATTGGTTAACTTTTGGATATCCACATAGAAATGAATAACTCTTGAATACTACCACACATCATACAAATAAATTAATTATATTGATTGATATGGTTTGGCTCTGTGTCCCCAAACAAATCTCACCTCAATTATAATCCCCATAATTCTCACGTGTCAAGGTCGGGACCAGGTGGAGATAGTGGATCCTGTCGCCCTGTGAAAAAGGTGCCTGCTTCTCCTTTACCTTCCACCATGATTGTAAGTTTCCTGAGGCCTCCCCAGCAATGCGGAACTGTGAGTCAATTAAACCTCTTTCCTTTATAAATTACCCAGTCTTGGGTATTTCTTCATAGCAGAGTGAGAATGGACTAACACACTGATATTTACACATTATACACACACACACACACACACACACACACACACACAAGGCACCTATATATACAATTAATATATACCTTTCGTTATATAGGTACAGTAAGTCCTCACCTTAATGTTGTCAGTAGGTTCTTGGAAACTGCAATTTTCAAGGAAACAACATACTGTAAGCCATAGAAATTTACTCGTTTATATCAATTAGCTTATGGTAAAATTGGTTTTGTTATATAGTATGCTGTTTCCATGAAAGTCATAGTTTCCAAGAACCTACTGATGCCATTAAGTGAAGACTTACTGTATATATATCCTTAAATATATACGTGTGTGTTTGTATAATGTAAAACAATAAAGCTTCTAGAGGATAACATAGGATAATATCTTCATGATACTGAGGTAGGCAAGTATTTCTTAAATGGAACTAAAAAGTATTAACCATAAAGTAAAAGTCTGATCAACTAGACTAAATTAAAATTAAGAATATCTGTTCATCAAAAGACAATACAAATAAGAGTGAAAAGGCAAGCCCCATGGGGTGGGAAAAGATAACATGCAATACATATATTTGACAGAGGACTAGTATTCAGAATATAAAGAATTATAAATCAGTAAAAAGCAAATGGTGACAATTGAATAGACTAATGAACAAATTATTTGAATAAACTTTTCAAAAAATGTTTAAGAACATCCAAATGGCAAATAGCATATGAAATTATGATCAATCTCAAAAGTCATCAGGGAAATGTAAATCTAAATTACTATGATAAGATACCAAAACAAGCATATTATAATATCTAAAATTTAAATGTATAACAGTAGTAATTGGTGGGCAGGATGGAGAGCCATAAGATCTTTCATACACTGCCAGTGGATGTGTAAATCTGAACAAAAACTTTGGAAACTTCTTGGCAGTATCTAATAAGTTGAAAATATGCATACCCTATGACCCCAAAATTCTCATCTTAGTTATACAGACAACAAAATGTGGACATGTGTTCAGCAAAAGAAATGTATACAAATGTTTTATTGCAACATTACTTATAATAGTATCAAACGAGATAAAACTTAAATGTCCATCAACAGTAGGAGGGATATATAATTGTGGTATATTTATAGAAGAGACTACTACATAGCACTAAAAATTAATGAACTATAGCTTTTGCAACAACGTGGATGAATCTCAAAATCATGTTGAATAAAACAAGCCATACACAAGAAAGTACATACTGGAGTATAAAGAATATTATTCGACTTATATAAAGTTTAAAAACAAGTGAAACTACTATAAGAAATCAGGGTATTAGTTATCTTTGTGGGGGGAGTATGGACAATGGCCAAGAAAGACATAAAGAGATGGTTCTGGTGTGTTAATTTTTTTTTTATTTTCTGACCCTGATAGTGGTTACATTTAACAAAAATTCATTGCGCTGTACAATTAGGATTTTGCATTTTTTCCATATATGCTATACTTCAATTTAGAAAGTTTTCTTTAAACAAAACATCTATTGAAAAGAAGACCCGAGTAAATGGAAATATAGCACGTTTCTGACTGGAGAGAGCGAAATATTTTATAGATACTAGTGGTTTCAAGATTTTCTATAATGTAATGTACTTCTAATAAAATTCCCAACACAATATTCTTAAAGATTGAGGAAATGTTGCTCAAAGGATACAACATTTCAGTTCAACGGTAGGAATGAACTTAAGAGATCTATTATACAACATGGTGACAATAGTCCATGACAATCTATTGTATATTTGAAACTCGCTAGAAGAGTAGATTTCAAGCAATCTCACCAAAAGGATGTGAGGTAATGGTAATACATATGTTAATAAATATGTCTATTTAGACATTCCACAATGTATACATATTTCAAAACATCATGTTGTATGCCATAAATATGTACATTTTTCATTTGTCAATTAAAATAAATTAAAAACTTGTCAAGCTTAAGGTTTATAAGAAAATGCTTGTAATTATATTTTGAAAAATGCTATGAGAAGATATTTCATCTAATAATGAACAACAAATACTATAAAACTAAAGAAATGAAGCATTGTAGTACTAGAATATTTGTGTGTCATGATGTGTATGCACCAAAACACTGGTGATAGGTGTTGCCTCCTCACAGGGGAACTTGTTGACACTTGGGCACAAATGGTAAAGAGATTTACTTTTCACTGTAGACATCTTTGTACTTAATTATGACCCTTGCGCATGAATTAGTTATTTTAACAAACCTGACAAATTTAAAGTTTGGTACTGAGGTAAAAATAGAAAAAGAATAAGTGAAATTAAATCAAGGGTTCCAGGAATAGATTCATATGTATACAGGAATTTAGTGTAGGATGAAAGAACAATTTATGACCAATGAGGAAATTATGAAGTATTCAATAAGTTGCACTGGACAAATGTATCCTTTTAGAAAATAAAGTTAGGCTTTTATGCACAATGGAATAAAATGCTACTAAATGTGAACAACAAATACTGAATATATTAAAATATTTAGGAGCATATTTTTATGAACTTGGGAAAGATGAAGATATTTCTGTACACTTTAATTTTACACTTCTCTGTAACAAAAAAATCAATAATGTTTGAGCTAAGCAACAGACTAGGGTTTAGAAGAAAATATCAACATTCCTGATATATGAGGAGCTAATATGAATCAGTAATTAAAACATCAAAGAAAATACAAAATTGAAGAAAGGATGTGGACAAATAATTACCAAGGATATTGGTATTACAATTGGATTACAAATGGAATATACAAATGGATAACAAATGTAATATTACATTTGGATATTACAAATGGATAACAAATGTAAAAATATATTCAACCTCAATAGCAATCATAAAAATACACACTAAAACAATATTTTAAAACTGTGGGAAGATAACTAATATATTAATTTGAAAGTTAGCTATTTTAGGGTTGTGGGAAAAGAACATGATTCATAGGGATTGTAATAAGAACAATTTTTGTATTGTGTATCTTTATTTTTCATTTTATTTTTGAACTGTGTGATTGAATTAATTTTCTCTAGATCCCAGCATTCTCCCAAAATCAAATAATCTTCCATCATTCCCTATCTCAGTGAACAGTACCATCATCTACCCAACTGCAGAATCAGAAACCGACAAGTCATCTTTCACATCTCCCTTTCCAACAGCCCCCATGTCTATTTCGTCTAACTTTTTATCAATTTTACCCCCTAACACCCCCTCAAAAACATTTATTTCTCTTCACATTGTTCACCACAACACTAGTTCAAGCCATTACAAACTCACTCTTGGCCACTGCTAAAGCCTCAATCACACAATAACTAAGCATCTACTTTGTATATGACACTGTGCTAACTGGTTTTCTGGAATCTACTGTTGTCTCCTTCTAATCCATCCTACACAGTAGCCAAGTTTAGCATTTCATAACCTGATTTGTCAGCAGCTCCCCCACCACTTGAAATGCTTCAATGGCTTCAAGAGTAATCTTAAAAATAATGAAAATTATTAGCATAGGCAAAACTTAACATTGTACATCTAAATGATGTCAGGCCAATTTTCCCCTACCCCACCCCAAAGTAGCTGCCATCACCATCGCCAGCTACCCTGGTATAAGCTGTTTTTATCATTCATCTTCACTACTATAATATGCTTTTGGTGTGCCCACAGTGGTTTTATTTAAATGTTTTCTTTGTTTTTACTTTTTGTTTGGCAATAATTTCAAACTTCCAAACGAATTCCAGAAATAGAACATACTCTTTGTCCATATGCACAATTTCTTAACATTTGTCACATTGTATCTGTATACTTGCAAATACTTCATTGTATATTTTCTTTTTCTTTTCTTTTTTTTTTTTTTTTTTTTTTTTTACAGGGTGTCATTCTGCCACCCGGGCTGGAATGAAGTGGCACAATCATGGCTCATTGCAGCCTTGACCTCCCAGGCCCAGGCTCAAGCAACTCTCCCACCTCTGCCTCCTGAGTAGCTGAGGCTACAATATGCTCCATCATGCTCAGCTAAGGTTTTTTTTTTTGTAGAGACAGAATCTTGTTACGTTGCCTAGGTTGGTATCAAACTCCTGGACTCAAGCAATTACCTACCTCAGCCTGCCAAAGTGCTGGGATTACAGGTGTAAGCCACCATGCCTGGCTTGTATTTTTCTAAAGAACAATATCACACTTGTATATAACCCACTTATATACAATTACCAAAATCAATAAACTTATCATTGATACAACACTGTCATCTAATCTAGAATCCATATGTACGTTTCAACAATTGTCCCAATAACGCTCTCTATAGTGATTTTTACCCGTCTAGGTAAATGTGTGATCCAATGTAGGATCACACCTTTGGTTATCATATCTCTTTAGTCTCCTTTAGTCTGGAACATTTCCCCAATTTTTCTTTGTCTTTCATGAAAATGAAATTTTTAAAGAGAAAAGATCAGAATGTCCCTCAATCTGAGTTTGCCTGACGTTTTCTCATGATTAAACTAGGGTTATGGGTTCGGGGAAAGAACACTATCTAAGTAATATTGTGCCCTTAGTGCATCACATCAGGAGACACATGATTGTTTTTTATGTTGTGATGTGATGTTTGATCAGTTGGCTAAAGTGGTGACTTTCAACTTCTGTCCTGGTTTCTGCTTGTACTCTCGCACCTGGAGGAGAGCTGTCCTTATCTGCTTATCTATTCCTACTCTGTCCCCTTTCCCTGATGTACTTCTTGAATAAAATATGTTTCTTCTTATCTCAGAGCCCATGTGTAGGCCCAGAAAACTCTTCCTCATCTCAATTTGCATGGCAGGCTCCTTTTCATCCTGTAGGTCCAGGTTAAATAGTATCTTTTTAGAAATCCCATCTCCTTTGCTTTCCACGAACACAGAACTTTGTGTGTTTTCTTCCTATGACTTCTTATAATTCCCAATTATTTATTTATGTAATTAAAATTATAATGTCTGTCTTCCCCTACTAAACTATAATTGTGGAAATGAGGAGCTAGTATTATTTAATGCCATCCAAGAAAGGTCAGATTCTCTCCCTTAACTCAGAATCTGGCATTTTAAGACACAGCTAAGAGTAAAGGAAACACTTTTGAGTCACACAGAAACCAAGTTCAAATCCCAGATCAGAATAACTGCATATGACCTTGGACTTCCTCATATGCGAATAGTGGATACCATCACCTACCTCACTGGGTGGGTAGGATTATATTCTTGTAAAACAAACTAGAATCATGTTTAGTATGTAAAGGAAGCTGCACAAGTGATAGATAGGGTTAATCTTCTTTCTGGATTAAGAGATATCCAGTCTTCATAAGAAGCACTCTTACAATCATACTGCTTAGTTTGCTATGTATTCACAAGTACAGGTGAATTGATTAACTTGCAAGAGTTAGTTGCAAGTCTCTAACAGTCAACACTTCATACTCAATTCTACTCTAGATCCAACCCTGTGGTGGGCATGGTGAGATTCTATCTCACTTCTAAGAATTCCCTTGATGAAAATCAGTTTCTCCAAACAGGTAGGTATACCTCCGCTGTACTTTCTCTGTCACTTCCTTTCTCCGTACTTTCTTCGTTGCATTCCTTATTCGAAGTGGTTTAGCATTAGTTGTTTCTATGTGTCTGAGTTTATCTCCCACTAGATTTTGGCAGAATAATAATAATAGAAAAATGATAAGAGCAAATATATCTCTAACACTTAACTATCATATTTCATCTAAGTTGCCACAAATTTTCAGATACAACAATATTTTTTATGCCACTAGCACATTAAATGTGCTGCCAAATAAACAATGATATGTCATTGATAGCTAAGAGTCATACTTATTTGGGAAATATTAAAATATGGGAAGAGACTGGGCTTCTTAAAATTGTTGAAACATGATCTGTGTTAGGCACTGTTCTAAGCACTTTATATTTATTAAGTTATTTAACCCTCACAATAACCCAATACGGCAGGTATGTTATGCTGCCTCCTCATTACTGTTCTCCATCTCCTTTGGCACCACCATAGATGAAGTCATCATTATTATCTCTCACACCTAATTCTCCCTCTATAGCTACTTTTGACTTCTTTGACAATAAATCCATTGCCTGCTGCCAGAATCAGCTTTGAAACCTGCAAATCTGACTATGTCATTCCCTGTTTAAAGTCCTTTAATGACTCCTCTATGACCTTGGAATAAGGCCCAAACACTGCATTGTACTCTGTATCTCTATTTTCACATCTCATTCTGTACACTCCAGCCATACTGACCTTCTCTTACTTCCTAGAATGCAGCATGAATTTTGCCATTATCAGGGCCTTCATGCAACCTTTTCCCTCTCCCTGGAATATTCTTACCCATCTCTCTCCCTATCACTACTGAAATGGCAAACAGCTATAGATCTTTACATTCTAAGCTTGAACATTACTTCATTAAAGAAAATTTACCTGTCATGTTCCCCACTAACCTAGGTCTGCTTTTTAATTTCTTTATAACACTTTCTGCTACTTTTCCACAGCATTCGGCTCACCGGAAAATTACTTTTTCAAAGTATGCCTTCCCTTTTAGATTGCGAACTCCAAAAAAGCAGGGGCCAGGTCTATCTGAGTCACCATTATATCCTTAACTTCTAGCACAGTCAGCTGATATATTTCATATACTCAATAAATAGATGCTAAAATGAAAGCTAAAACTTTCTGTTTCTCACCAAGAAAACAACGAATGCCCAAGGAAGAGGTTCATGAAGTGGAATTTGAATTTATCTGAGTTCTGCAGAGATCAATAACACAAGAGATCTAATAAGCAAACACTGAATTTGTCAGCTCTGGCCACAACATCTACAGCCAAATCCTGGCTGGCGCTTCAGCACACCAAAACATCTGGAGAGCTGTCACCCATCCATATATATTGCTTATATTACCCTAAACATCTTTTTATGAGAATACAGGTAATAGCTAAAAGTATTCTTGTACTTGCCCCTGCAATGTACTTGGCAAAGCAATGACGCCACTTAGAGATTCACAGACCTACCAATTAGATACAATAATTTAAGAAGTAAATCACCAAGGAAGGAGAGACACCCTGTCTCATTTGTATAATCTCCGCAGGCTGCTGGCCCAATATACAACTGGCCCCGTCCTAACAGTGCACTGACTCATAGTCCCTTCTAACTCAGCACCCAGATTCCAAAACATGCACCCTGCAGACAGTGATTCAGAGCCCTGGCTGCTATGCGGTGGCGTCCCTCCTCTCATCCAAAGAGCTACTCTCAATAGTAGTCCCTGGGGCTGCAGTCAGACAGATGAAGCTGTACGCTAAAGAGTAACTGCAGATTTGTAGTTTGTCCCCAGGGTACAGGAGCTATAAACAGGAATGTGCAATGTGCATAGTTCAGGCAACCTGCCTTTATCTAAAAGTGGAGAATCTGCAGACTAGACACAAAAACAGAGGAAGGTTGCATTAATATATACCAATTTCAGCCTCCAGCCCCCACTGAGCATATAACCAGGAGCATTGTTGTAGCATAGATACTGCCCAGGATCCCCAAATGCTTGTGGAAACTGTGTCATTTATAGATTCCTAAACAGGCACTCAGAAAGCAGGAGGCAATCACTCCACAAGTAAAGATGACAGTGAGTTCTAAAATTGAGTATTTACTTATTTCTGCTTGGGTGTTAATGCAGCTGGAATGCCACTTGTACAATGAGATACTTTTTTTGCAAACATTTGGCAAGCATACACCCACTACTCAAGAGCAAGAGAGGTTTTTTCTCAAGTTAGTCCCAGCTGAAAACTGAGAAAGATGGATTGAAAGCAAGCCAGAAATTGAAGAAAAACAATAGACCACTGAAAATGAAGAATGCACTTAATGGGTCACCAATGTGGAAAGCAAAGAAAGAAAATGGAGTGACTGATTATGGGATCCCAGCACAAGAACACAGCCAAGCCCTTGTGTCACTGGAATAAAGCAGAAGATTGGAGATTAAATATGAAAGAATTGAATTAAAAGAGAGGTAAGAACGATATCTGAGTCCCCATAGGTGAGTGAGACAGGTCAGGAAAACTGGTAGGAAATAAATTTAAAGAAGGAAATGCAGGGAAAAGTACAAGTTCAGCCAGACTTCCTAGTGTTTGCTAAATATTCCTTCCACTACTTCTATTAATCTACCTCCAATATACCTCTCAAACCCATGGTCTCTCTCTCCCTCCCTCCCTCCCTCTCTTTCTCCAGATTACCATTTTAGCCAAAGCAGCATTACTGGCCTCACATTCACTTCAGCCGCCCTTCTGCAGCATTAACCTATTCTTCACACAGCAACCAGAGGGGGCCATAAAAATGCGAATCAGATTGCTTTACTCCCTTGCTTAAAACTATTCAAAGGCTCCCTACTGCTCTTGAGGGAAAGACTAAACTCCTGAATTTGACCTACAAGGTCCTTTAAGATCTAGCCAAATCACGCCTTCCCACCTTAGAGATGACCTCAAACCATGGCAAAACCTCCATTGGCTCCATTCACCCCTCCTGAAACAATCAGAAACATTGTCTTCAACCTAAAAATAGTTGTTTTGTCATCTAATTTTCCTATTTCCATTTAAAGTTCAAACATCAATCTGGCAACCACAACTTCTTCACACTCCTGTCTTCTCTTCTTCCTGTCTGTCACAATAAGACTCTCCTCCTGAGGTAACCATTGCCACTCACCTGACCTACAAAACTTCCTTTGATACCAATGGGGGCCCTAGGTTTAGGCAAGTCCAATGTTCCTGATCCCAGAGTCAAAAACACCTGTCTGCTTAACCTAACCTGAGTGGATCCATATCTCTGTTGCTTCACAACATAGACTGATACTCAGATATGTGAATGTTGCAATCTATGATTACAGATTAAGTATAGAAAACTAATCATAGAGAATTCTTCATAACTAAGTTCCCAAATGTTGAGTAGCCATTATTTGAAGGAGAATTTATTATCCATCTAAAAATCCTGAAGGATTATCATGTCAAGCTAGTAATTTGAGTTCACACAGGAAAAAAATCCCCCTCTCTCAGCTTCAAACATAGAATATAGTGATGACAACTAAATCATAAAACATACATTAAAAAATAAAAACACAACCACAACTGTTAAAGAAAAAATAAAATATGTCCATGCAGCTGAAACAGAAAAATGAACTCAGCAATAGGCTGGGGATGGGGTTGGAGAGAATAAAACCACTTACCCACTGGGAAACAGGAAGAGGCAGCCAGAAGTTCAAGTACTGTGGGGTAACATAAACCAATAATATTGAATATATGGTAGGGTAGCAAAGCTAGATCACTGCAGGAAACCAGACGATGAGGCAGGGAACTCCTAGGCAGAATAACTCTAAAAATGCTATGACCAGCCCAGGAAGCTGAGACTGGCAACTGGGGTGTTGCCCAGGTAGGCAGTAGAGATAGTTATGCAACTAAGACTTGCATCACGCCAAGCACTGCCTCAAAAACTTGACCTTTGATATCTTCAAGGAATAAAAGCCCCAAACTGACAACATAAAAAGTGGTTCTGAACTAGGGACTGATCACAGTATTGCATCTATGAAAAAAGGACAAGTTGCCATAAAAAAAGGAAATTCAAAGGATATATATTTTTAAATCATTACAGTGTAAAATCATAATACGGGAAATGCAAAACTCTATAGAAGTGTGGGGAGATAAAGTTGAAGATATCTTCCAAAATATACAGCATTTAGACAATGAGATGGACAATAGAAAATGTAAGAAAATAATAAAATCAGCCTAGTAGGGCCAATATTAAAATAGTAGGAGGGAAAGGGAAAGAGATACAGATAGGGACAACGAGCTAGTGTGAGAATGAGTAAATGAGAGGGAAAGAAAGAATAGCAATGAAATAATTCAAAAAAAAATCCCATAGGCTTTTTTTGAAAGTCAACTGAATATCAGCACAATGGATGAAAATAGATCCACAAGAACCTACAACAGTGTTAGAACACAACAGATGAAAAGAATATCCTACATGTTTCAAGAGAAAGAAAGACGAAATTGAGCACAGATGTTCAAGAATAATTTCAGATTTCCTAGCAGATACTCTGGAAGCTAGAAGGTAGTGGAGCAATGTTTTCAACTCAAGAGAAACAGGAAGGAAATCTAAGGATAGTGATGGAGATTCCAGGATGATATCTATGAACAAAGCAGAGAGAGAAGCCAGTCCAAATTTTAATAGGGGAAAAGAGTAAAGAAACAATTTCAATAAGAAGATAAAACTAATAAAATATCTTTTATGTCTGCATTTACTGAGAAAACATGTCAACACTGGAAGAGAGTTTGAGCTTGAAGTAGTGATAAGTAGTACATAAATGATAAGCACATTTTAAAAAGACAATTATTCCAGTGAAAACTAAACTTTGCACAGAAAATGAAAAGTAATGCTCTTATATATGGTAGGCAGAATAATGGCCTTCCAAAGATGTGAATGTCCTAATCCCCAGAACCTGTAAGCATGTTATGCTACTGGACAAAAAGTGATTAAATAGCAGATGGAATGAAGGATGCTAATTAGTTAACCTTATAATAGATTATTTGGATTATCTGAGTAAACACAATGTAATCACAAGGGTCCTTAAAAGTGGAAGTGGGAGGGAGAAGAGTCAGAAGTGGGAGGCAGAAAAGTCAGTGTCAGAGTGATACGATGTGAAAACGACTTGCCTGGTCATTGCTGACTTTGAAGATGGGGGAAGGGACCAGGAGCAAAGGAATGCAGGAAGTCTCTAGAAGCCGGAAAAGTCAAGAAAACAAGTTCTCCTCAGAGCTTCCAAAAAGGAACACAGCCCTGCCAATGTCTTGATTTTAGCCCTGGAAAACCTGCAAAACTATTTAAAAACTAAAACTGTGTTGTTTTCAGTCACTAAGTTTGTGGTAATTTGTTACAGCAGCAATGGTAAACTAATACAACATGTTATCTGGCTCAGCTGTAAGTGGCACTGATATGGTCATAATAACATAAACAAAAAATTAAATCGAAGTTATACTGAAATTAAAAGAGTATGGGGATGGGAGAAGAAACTTATATATGTTGTACAAGTAGGGCAGATTTCAAAGAATCTGAACACTTATCTTCCAGAGTAGGAAATTAATAAATTTGCATAAACATTTTAAATTAAGATGGATCAGTATATGCATGTTATTTAGAAATACGGTATAAATACCAAAAGAATAATCTGAAATGGTGGAACACGGTTGCTTCTAGGAAGCTGGGCAGGGATCTGCTGTTGTTTTTAACAAATCTTGGAGAAATATTTGATTTTAAATTAAGACCTCATATACTTTTAACAAAAAGCAAACTTTAAAAAAAAATCATATGCTTTCAACAAAAAACAAAACTTGTTCAAAATCATAAAAGAATATTATGAACAACTTTAGCCATTACGTTCAAAAACTGAAGAAATTGACAATTCCCTAGGAAAACAAATAGCAAATAGCAAACAAAAAACAAAACTAAATGGATTAGAACAGAAATTGAACCAGGAGGCTAAACATCAAATCTCCCTCCTAACACTCTGCATACAATAAAAAAAGAATGGGATCACACCAGGATCTAAAATCAGTTTTATTAAACTAATAAAAAATAATTAATTCTTATCTTCTGCAAACAGTTCCAGAAACTGGAAAAAGATGAAAGCTATAAAAACTACCTTTTAGCTTAATGCAATATTCTTATCAAAATTGAACAGTATTGGTAATATCAACCTAAGAACCTAGATACAGTTTTTTAAAGGGAAAACAAATAAATCTAGCCACATATGATCTGTAATCAAGCAGATTTTTCTCTGAAATGAAAGGAGAGCTTAATATTGAATAACCTATCAGTGCAATTCACAGTTCCAAAAAAGATGAAGGAGAGAAAAGGAGTTGAATTACCACTAGTAATTTTTTAAAATAGATTAACATATTATAAAAAAAAGAAGTATAGGAGCATCTCAACAGATGAAGAAAAAAATCATGCAATGAAATTTTCCTCTCATTCATGGTAGAAATCTTAGCAAATTAGAAATACAATGAAACTTATTTTATTTGATGAATAATATCTACCAAAAAACCTAGAGGAAATACCATACACAATGGAGACACATTAGAAACAATCTCACTCAAGTCAGAAACAAGACAAAGACTGCCCCATGCCTATCAGTAACCAATGTTTTATTGTGTATCTTAGCCAAAATAACAAGAAAAGAAATAATACCTTAACATAAGGATCTTAAAAGGAGGGCAAAATCGTTTTCATTTGTAGGAGAAATGAAAAAAATTCAAAAGAATCAACAAATTATAAGAATGAATAAGAATTTTCAAGAATACTAGATGCAAGACCAACTTACAGATATCAATTAGAAAATATAATAGAAAAAACAGCCACAAAACAAAAATATGATTATCAAAAACTATGTAATGTAGCTTAAAAAGTGCAGATAGGGGTAGTTACAGCATTAAATCTTATATTAGATAAGAAAAACTCAATGGTTTAAAATTCCACTTTAAGACACATGAAAATGAAGAGCAAATTAAACTCAAAGCAAACAAAAGGAAGGAAATAATAAAAATAAGAGCAGAATTCAATGAAATAGAATGAAGGAAGACCAAAAAAAAAAAAAAAAATCAATGAAACTAAGAGCTGGTTCTTTGAAAAGATCAATAAAAGTAGTAAACTTTTACACAGATAATGAGAAAAAAAAAGAAAACAAAAATTAACATTTATTAGAAATGAAGACAAGTGGGTCACTACAGATCTTACAAAAATTAAAAGGATAATAAGAAAATATAACAAATTTATGGAAATGAATTTAATAATGTAGATGAAACAGGCAGAATATTTGCAAGACATAATATCAGCTCTCACTTGAGAAGAAATAGATAATCTATAGCTTTTTATCTATTAAATATATTAAATGTATAAATTCACAGTTAAAAACCTTGGCTCAACTGGTGAATTACACCAAGTGTGATGGTCAATACTGAGTGTCAACTTGATTGTATTGAAGGATGCAAAGTATTGATCCTGGGTGTATCTGTGAGGGTGTTGCCAAAGGAGATTAACATTTGAGTCAGCGGGCTGGGGAAGTCAGACCCACCTTTAATCTAGTGGGCACAATCTAATCAGCTGCCAACGAATGTAAAGCAGGCAGAAAAACATTAAGAAGCGAGACTAGCCTAGCCTCGCAGCCTACATCTTTCTCCCATGCTGGATGCTTCCTGCCCTCAAACATAGGACTCCAAGTTCTTCAGTTTTGAGACTCGGACTGACTCTCCTTGTTCCTCAAGCTTGCAGACAGCCTATTGTGGGACCTTGTAATCATGGAAGTTAATACTTAATAAACTCCCCCTCTGACTAATACACCAAGTACTTAAGGAAGAAAGAATACTAATTCTACACAAGCTGTTTCACAAAAGACGGAAAAAACACTTCCCACCTCATTTTATGAGACTAGAGTGACTCTTTTCCAAAACCAAATAAATGCATTATAAGAAAAGAAAATTAAAGACCAATATATCTAATGAATGCAGACACAAAAAAAACTGTAAATAAAAATAAGCCGAGATATATATAACAAGAATAATACATCATGACCAAATAGAATGGTTCTATGGGAAATGGTAGAATGGTTCAACACTTAAAAGTCAATCACTGTAATTCACCATAGCAATAGACTTAGAAAGATCATTTCAATAGATACATAAAAAGCATTTTAAAAAATTCAAGATCATCAGCATACATTCATGATAAAAATCCCTCACCAAACTATGGATAGAAGGGAACTCCCTCAAACTTATAAATGGTATGTGATAAAAATCCAAAGATGGCACCACAGTTAATGGCGAAAGACTGAATATTTCCTGCAATAAAATGAAGATCAAGGCAAGGAGATCTGCTGTACACTTCCATTCAACATTCTACTAGAGGTCCTATCCAGTTAAAATACAGTAAAAATAAAATAAAATAATATAAATACAGCAAGAAAAAAAGATATGATTTGGAAAATAGGAATTAAAACTGTGTTTACTACCAGACAGCATACTCATCTGTGTAGAAATTAGTTCAGCCACTGTGGAAGACAGAGTGGCAATTCCTCAAGGATCTAGAACTAGAAATACCATTTGACCCAGCAATCCCATTACTGAGTATATACCCAAAGGATTATAAATCACTCTACTATAAAGGTGCATGCACACGTTTGTTTATTGCGGCACTGTTCACAATAGCAAAGACTTGGTACCAACCCAAATGCCCAGCAGTGATAGACTGGATGAAGAAAATGTGGCACATATACACCAGGGAATACTATGCGGCCATAACAAAGGGTGAGTTCATGTCCTTTGCAGGGACATGGATGAAGCTGGAAACCATCATTCTCAGCAAACTAACACAAGAACAGAAAACCAAACATCACATGTTCTCACTCATAAGGGGGAGTTGAACAATGAGAACACATGGACATAGGGAGGGGAACATCACACACTGGGGCCTGTCAGGGGGTGGGGGGCTAGGGGAGGGATAGCATTAGGAGAAATACCTAATGCAGATGACAGGTTGATGGATGCAGCAAACTTCATGGCACATGTATACCTATGTAACAAACCTGCACATTCTGCACATGTGCCCCAGAACTTAAAGTAAAGGAATAATAATAAAATACAGAAAATACCAAGAATCTAAAAACAAACAAAACAACTACTAGAACTAGTAATTAAGTTTTATAAGTTCATAAGATACAATATCAATAGACAAAAATTAATTGTATTGCTATGCACTAATAATAAATATCAGAAGTTAAAATTTATAAATTACCATTTATAATAGCATCAAAAAGCATGTATTACTTAAGATAAATTTCACAAAATATATGCAAGATCTATACACTGAAATATACAAAACATTGTTAAGATAATTTAAAGAAGAAATAAACAATAAAACGTTATACCATCTTAATGTATCAGGAGACTCAAGGTAGTTAAGATGTCATTTCTTCCCAAATTGACCTAAAGATTTAACTCAATCCCAATAAATCTTTCAGTAGCATTTTTGGAGGAGAAAGGGAAAAGCTGGCTGATCAATTTATCTGGAAATACAAAGGACCTAGGATAGCCAAAGACAGTTTTTAATTGTTTTTCAAAAATAATTTTTAAATGAAGAACAAAGTTAAAGGATCCACAATGCTTTACTTCAAGATTTACGAAAATGCTATTGCAGTTTCTCAACCTCAACAATATTAACATTTTGGGGCAGAGCAATACTTTATTGTTTGGGTAGCTGCCTGGCCTCTACCCACAATATGCCAGGAGCATGTCCCTCCATTTGTGGTAACCAAAAATGTCTCCAGACATTGCCAAATGTCCCTGGGGGGAATATTGCCCCAGTTGGGAACCACTGAATTATAATAATTGATGCAGCATGTTAGTTTCAAGGTTACACAAACAGATCAAATAAACAGAATAGAGTCCAGAAGTAGATCCATCCATACACAGTCAGTTGATTTTGGACAAGGGTGCCAAGGTAATTCAATGGGCAAAACATACTCTTGTCAACAAATGGGGCTGGAAAAACTGGACATACATAAGGAAAAATATATTGTATATGCCTGGAACATTACCTTGCTCCAAAGGCAAAAGTCATCTAAACATGCACCAAAGACATAAATCAAAGAACAGAAACTACAAAACTCTAGAACAAAACAAGAGAGAATTATTTTGAACTTAATTAATGCAAAGACTTCTTAGAATGCAAAAGGTACAAGTCATAATAGAAAACCCATTAAGAAAATGAAAAGACAAGCCACAGAAGGGCAGAAAATATTTCCAAAACACATATCTTCTAAAGAATTTGTATTATATTTAATATTATATATTGTATTATAGAATGACCCAATAATAAGAACACAAATATCCCAATTTTAAAATGGGCAAACGATTTGAATGGACATTTCTCCAAATGAGATACACAGATGGCTAATAAGCACATGAGAAAATGTTCAGTATCATTAGTCATAGGAAAATGCAAATTAAACCACAATGAGCTACCACTACGCACTCACGGGAAAGACTGACAAGGCAGGATACAAGACTAATCTTCAAAAGTCAATAGCATTCCTATATACTAGCAATGAACAACTGGAATTTGAAATGTAAAATGCACTATTTATGTTACCACCAAAATCTGAAATGCTTAGGTATAAATCTAACAAAATATGTATATGATATCTTTAAGGAGACTATAAAACTCTGATAAGAGAAATCAAAGAAGATCTAAATACATGGAGAAATATTCCATGGTCATGAATAGGAAGACTCAGTATTGTTGGATAGGAAGATTCATTATTGGTAAGGTCAGTTCTTCTCAACTGATATATACATTCAATGCAGTCCCAACCAAAATCCCAACAATTTATTTTCTAGATATCAATAAACAGATGCTGAAGTTTATATAGGAAGACAAAAGACCCAGAATAGTAAACACAATACTAAAGAATAGGAATAAAGTTAGAGGACTGACACTACCTGACAGGAAACAAGGCAGTGTAGTGCTGGTAAAAGAATAGATGAATACGTCAGTGGAACAGAATAGAGACCCCAGAAATAGATAGACCCACATGAATATAGTCAACTGATCCTTGACAAAGAAGCAAAGATAATATAAGGGATAAATGATAGTCTTTTCAACAAATGGTGCTGGAATAACTGGTCATCCACTTGCAGAAAAAAGATGAATCTTGACAAAGACCTTACATTCTTAACAAAAATTAGCTCAACATGGGTCATAGCCAGTAAAATACAAAACCAAAAAAGTCCTAGAAGACAAAATAGGGGAAAAGAAAGAATGATCCATGAAAGTAAAAACTGATAAATTGACCTTCATTAAAATTTAAGATCTTTGCTCTGTGAAACGCACTGTTAAGAGTATGAAAATACATGCCATAGACTAGGAGAAAATATTTGCAAAACATATATCTAGTACAGAACTTATATTGAAAATATATAAAGGACTCTTACACTGAACAATAAGAAAACAGCCCCGTTAAAAATGAGCAAAAGAACTGAAGAGACAGCTCAGCAAAACAGATAAGATTGCAAATAAGCATGCAAAAAGATGCTCAACTCGTATGTCGCTAGGGAATTGAAGACTACAGCAACAATGAAGTATCACTACACACCTATTAGAATGTCCAAAATCCAAAATGTAGACAACACCAAATGCTAGTAAACATGTGGAGCAACAGGAATGCTCATTTATTGCTGATGGCAGTGCAAAATGATATAGCCACTTTGGAAGACAGTCAGGCAGTTTCTTACAAAGCTAAACATAGTTTTACCATATGATCCAGCAATTGCACTCCTCGGTATTTACCCAAATGAGTTGAAAACTTATATCCACACAAAAACCTGCTTACAAACACTTATAGCAGCTTTATTCATAATTGCCAAAACTTGGAAGTAACCAAGATGTCCTTCAGTAGGTGAATGGATAAACAAACTGTGGTACAGCCTATGTGTCTATCCACACAATTGAATATTATTCAGCAATAAAAAGAAATGAGTTATCAAGCCATGATAATACATGGAAAAATCTTAAATACATATTGTCAAGTGAAAGAAGCCAGCCTTAAAAGCTACATACTGTAAAATTTCAACTATATGACATTTTGGAAAAGGCAAAACATTAAAGAGAGTGAAAAGATCAGTGGTTGCTAGAGGTTCAGGCTGGAGGGAGGGATGAACAGGTATATAACAGGAGATTTTTTAGGGCAGAGAAACTATTCTATATTATACAATAATGGTGGATATATGTTATACATTGTCAAAATTCATAGAACTGTAGAACACAAAGAGTGTGCACAAATGCAAGCTATAGACGTGAGTTAATAATAATATATCAATATCAGTTTATCAGTTGTAACAAATGCACCACATTAAAGACGTTAATAATAAGGGAAACTGGGGTGGGGGATGGGGTAACTCCGTTGAATTTTTTTGTAAATCCGAAACTGTTCTAAAATAAAGTTTATTATTATTATTATTATTATTTTTTGAGATGAAGTCTCACTCTGTCACCCAGGCTGGAGTGCAGCGGCACAATCTCAGCTCACTGCAAACTCCACCTCCCAGTTTCAAGTGATTTGATTCTCCTGCCTCAGTCTCCCGAGTAGCTGAGATTACAGACGCCTGCCACCACACCAGGCTAATTTTTGTATTTTTAGTAGAGACGGGGTTTCACCATGTTGGCCAGGCTGGTCTCGAACTCCTGACCTCAAGTGATTCACCTGCCACGGCCTCCAAAGCACTGGGATTACAGGCATGAGCCACCGTGCCTGGTCTAGTTTTTTAAAGATGAAAATACCAAGTGGTGGTGGGGATAATGAGCAGCTGAGACTCTTACACACTGCCGGTGGGAATGCAAAATTATATAGCCACTTTGGAGAATAGCTTGACAATTTCTTATAAAGTTAGACATTTACTTTGCATATAACCCCAGGAGTCCCCTTCTAGGTATTTACCTAGCATAAATAAAAATATATGTGAAGCAAAAACCTGTACAAGAACATTTATAACAGCATTGCGACATGGCTAAATAGTGGGAAAAAAACAAATGTCCCTAAACTGTTGAATGAATAAATTACTCAGCAATAATAAAGAATAAACAATAATGAAAATATGCAAAAACATGGATGAATCCTAAAAGTAAGTGCTAATTAGAAGAAGCCAGACACAAAAGACTACATACCAAATGTTTCCATTGATGTGATAGCATAAAAGAAACAACACTTTGAGGACAGTAAACCTAAGACCTAAAACCATAAAATTCCTAGAAGAAAACCTAGGCAATACCATTCAGAACATAGGCATGGGCAAAGACTTCATGTCTAAAACACCAAAAGCAATGGCAACAAAAGCCAAAATTGACAAAGGGGATCTAATTAAACTAAAGAGCTTCTGCACAGCAAAAGAGACTATCATCAGAGTGAACAGGCAACCTACAGAATGGGAGAAAATTTTTGCAATCTATCCAACTGACAAAGGGCTAATATCCAGAATCTACAAAGAACTTAAACAAATCTACAAGAAAAAAACAACCCCATCAAAAAGTGGGCAAAGGATATGAACAGGCACTTCTCAAAAGAACACATTTATGCAGCCAACAAACATATGAAAGAAAGCTCATCATCACTGCTCATTAGAGAAATGCAAATCAAAACCACAATGAGATACCATCTCACACCAGTTAGAATGGCAATCATTAAAAAGTCAAGAAACAACAGATGCTAGAGAGGATGTGGAGAAATAGGAACGCTTTACACTGTTGGTGGGAGTGTAAATTACTTCAACCATTGTGGAAGACAGTGTGGCAATTCCTCAATGATCTCGAACTAGAAATACCATTTGACCCAGCGATCCCATTACTGGGTATATATCCAAAGGATTTTAAATCATGCTACTATAAAGACACGTGTACATCTATGTTTATTGTGGCACTGTTCACAAAGACTTGGAACCAACCCAAATGTCCGTCAGTGATAGACTGGATAAAGAAAGTGTGGCATATATTCACCACAGAATACTATGCAGCCATAAAAAAGGATGAGTTCATGTCCTTTGCAGGAACATGGATGAAGCTGGAAACCATCATTCTCAGCAAACTAACACAAGAACAGAAAACCAAACACTGCATGTTCTCACTCATTAGTGGGAGCTGAACAATGAGAACACATGGACACAGGGAGGGGAACATCACACACTGGGGCCCGTCAGGGGGTGGGAGGCTAGGGGAGGGATAGCACTAGGAGAAATACCTAATGTATGTGACAGGTTGATGGGTGCAGCAAACCACCATGGCACATGTATATCTATGTAACAAAACTGCACGTTCTGCACATGTACCTCAGACTTATAGTATAATAAAAAAAAAAAAAAGAAAAGAAAAAGAAAACAGATAGATGGTTTCCTGGAATTGTAGGTAGAAGAAAAGAACTGGCTGCAAAGGGGCCCAAAAGAACCTGTTATAGTAAGGGAAATTTTCTCTATCCTTATTGTGGTGGCACCGGTGGTAGTGGTTACACAATCATATACATGTGTCAGAACTTAAACTGTACACTTACAAAGGGTAAGTTTTATTTTATGCTAATTATACATTAATAAATCTGACTAAAAAATAAAGTTGCCTGGGACTAAATCTAATATGTAAGAGTATTATCAATAAATTTACCAACCTTCATCAAAGGTTGCAAAAAGTCCTGAATAAATGCCAAGATATAACATATTCATGAATAGGAAATCTCTGTCAAAAGGATGTCAATTCTTCTTCAAATCATTCTACAGATTCAATATAATTTCAAGAAAAACAAACATTATTTTCTTGTAATTTGATAATTTCGTTTTAAAATTAAGGTAAGTGAGGAAAGGACCAAAAATAAGATAATCCAGAAAAAACAAGAAAAGTGGTGTGAGTGTGGATGAAGGCAGTGAACAGTAACTTGACTTTACAAATATCAAATTCGTTATAAAGCATTTGTAGGTAAAACAACACAAGTGTAGACAAATAGATTAATGAAACACAATAGAGAGCCTAGAAATAGACTCAAACACATATAAAAATTAGGCAATGTGGTGGAGTTTGCGGTCTAAACTAGTTGTGTATAAATGATATTTAAAACAAATAGTATTTTACATGGAAAAAAAACTGCTTAATATTTTACATCACATACAAGAATAAAATCCAGATGGATTAAAGAACTAAGTGTAAAGAAAATTTCTTGAACTCTTCAGCAAAATTTTGGAGAACATTTTTTATGATCATAGCATCAGGAATATCTCTTAAAGCATGATACAAAAAGCACAATTCATGGAGGAAAAGATTGATAAACCTGATATGAAAATGTAAAACTTCTGTAATGATAAAGGACCCCATAAACAAAATAGAAAGCGAAGTAACATTATAGAAGCAGATATATGCTATATATATCACAAATAATTAGTATCCAGAATATATAAATAAGTCTTATGAATCAGTAAGAAGAAGCAACTGAATAGAAAATTCAGCAAATGTGAGTGGCCCTGAGTGTCACGTTTGGAGGGATGTGGAAAGGAATGAAACGGGGGCTAGACACAAAGAAAGTTAAAGTTTATATATAATGTTTCATTTATTTTATTAAAACATATCAAAAGCCAAAACGACAAAATGCTAACAGTTGTTCACTCTGAGTAGTATATATGTGGTTACTTGTTCATTGTTTTGAAAGATTCTCTGAGTTTCCCTTAAATTTCCAAAATAAAAAAAGGGAAAAAAAACAAGAAAATAACTTGTAAACTATACATTTATAATAATAAATTTCAGCAAAGTGAAAAAAATAGAAGTTAAAATCATAAATACTAATTTTCTGCATAATCAATTAGCAGAAATAATGGTAGAAAGATCCCCTTCACAAAATTAAGAGCATAAAATAAATGTTACTGCTACCCATTCTATACAGATAAATTTAGGCTTAGAGAGACTACACAGCTAGTAAGTAGAAGAGCTGAGGTAATAAAAATTATTTTAAAGCTACAATAATATTTAAACTTTGTAACTAGGACAGGAAGAGACAGACTAAAAGAAATGAAGAATAGATAAATTCCAAACAGAATCTATTATATATTACAATTTGTATATATTACAGAACAGTGGGAATGAATGAATTATTCAGTGTTTGGTGCTATGAAACAATTGGCAGGGAAAACAATTTAGAAAATTACCTCACACTACACAGCAAAATAAATTCCAGAGGGATTAAACATAAGCAATAAAAACTAAAACAAAATTCATTTAAGCACTTATCCAATTTTGAATGAGGAAGAAATTCTTAAACACGAATTCATCAGAAGAAATTACAAATGAAAAGATAAATATAATTACATAAAATTAAGATTACTATGCATAAAAGTCAATTTAAAATGTAAACTTTTAAATGTAAACATTTAAAATGTAAGTGGGAGAATATTTTCCCTACATTTGACAGAAAGAGGTCTAATGGGTCAACTAAACATACATTGCCCATACAAATTTAAAAAAATGTAAGTTCTTAATGGAACATGTACAAAGATCATAAATAGATGTTTATAGAAAGGAAACAAAATTAATCAAGAAATATAAAAAAGTATTCAATCTCATTATAATAAAAGAAACACGTATTAAAACAGTAAGGTACCATTTTGCCCCTAACAGATCGGTAAAAATTTTAAAAGAATGGCAATGGCCAGCACTGTCATGGGTGTATGAGCAGTAATCAACAATCTTATACAGTAGAGTGGAACACCTTCACATAGATATCAAGAGCCTTTAAAACGTTAGTATCTTCAGGCCCAGTAATGTCTTTCATAAAAACTCATCTTAATAATTCATTCAACAAATATTTAGTAAGTATCTACAATATGTCAGACCTTATTGTAGGTTCTAGCGGATATAAGAGTGAACAAAATGGAGAAAAAAATCCCCGGGCTTGAGGGACTTACACCCTAAAACAGGAATCCAAACAATAGATGTAATGTATCTAGTCTATCAGGTGATGACACAAACCAAAGGTTTAAAAAAGTAAAGCAAGAAAGGGGAAGAGTGAGTGTTGGAAAAGATGGGTTTGCATTTTTATGTGAGATCATTTAGAATTCAAATGTGACATTTGAATAAAGACCTAAAAAAGGTGAGGTTCAAAGAAGCAAAAATAATTTAAACGATCAATATGTGATCTGTCATACAATTATGGTAGAAATTGAAAACTGAAAAGTATGCAGCCATTAAAAATTGTTTGAAGGCTGCTGACCGATGTGGGGAAATGCTCACAATATAATACCAATGAAAAAGCCAGATCAAAAATAGTACATATAAGATGTGATCCCGATTATATAAACACAGAAACACATCTGAAAGGAAATACAGCAAGGTATCTCTGGACTAGGGATTTAGAGGTGATTTTTTTTTTAAATGTCTCTTCATTTTCAAAATTTTCTGTAATGCGGTTGTTTTACTTTTATAATCAGGAAAAAACAATGTAATGGTAGATATTACAATCTTAAGGTATATTAGAAAATATACTCAATTTTTTAAATGGAAGTGCTAGCCATCCATGCTTAAAGTACTGGGTCCCGTTTTGGACATCATATATTAAGAGGGACACTGAAGATAGAAGTGTCTACTGTATAAGTTTCTCAAAATATATATCACATAAGCTCAAGAACTAGCAATATATAGACTGAAGAAAAGATGAGAAGAACAACCATGGTTAAACATTTGAATGGCCACTACAAGGAAGGGGAACAGCAATTACACAGTATAGCTATTGCTCCAAGGTGCAAGATCAATAGGTTGAATTCAGAAGACAGATTGCAGGTCAGTATGAAGAATAACTTGCTAACAACCAAGCTGTCTGTTATCTGGTGGTGTTAAGCAACCTTTCCTGAAACCATTCACACTGAAAACAGATGACCATATGTACTGGGTGATAAGACTGCCATCACATGATTGTTAAGGGCCCTGCCATTTCTGAACTCCTCTTTTACTATTTTGAAAGGTTATTTTATGCTATGGTCACTTACATAATTCCATCTCCATCCACCTCCCCTTCCCTTAAAAACTATATATAATACTTGTGTGTTTTTTTTTTTTTGTTTTTTTTTGTTTGTTTGTTTGTTTTTTTTTGGCCGGGCGCGGTGGCTCACGCCTGTAATCCCAGCACTTTGGGAGGCCGAGGCGGGCGGATCACGAGGTCAGGAGATCGAGACCATCCCGGCTAAAACGGTGAAACCCCGTCTCTACTAAAAATACAAAAAATTAGCCGGGCGTGGTGGCGGGCGCCTGTAGTCCCAGCTACTTGGGAGGCTGAGGCAGGAGAATGGCGTGAACCCGGGAGGCGGAGCTTGCAGTGAGCCGAGATCCCGCCACTGCACTCCAGCCTGGGCAACAGAGTGAGACTCCGTCTCAAAAAAAAAAAAAAAAAAAAAAAAAAATACTTGTGTTTTTTAAGAAATCAGTTTTTAAAGAGAAAAGTACCCTTCAAAATATATATCCTGGAGATTTTTATTCCCCCTTCTGTGTATATTCAGGAGACATATTTTGTGCAGACATCAATACGTTTAAAATCATGCTTTTAAGTATAAAAATGCTTTTATATTACCAACTAGTATTTCCCTTCACATACATCTTCCCCCCAGGAAGAGACTACCTGGACCATTACATTTCAGAATGAGATAATCACCTTGTGTGTATTTAACAGTATTATGCCCCATCTTATTCTCAGTGACTTTAGTTTATTTCAAACCAGCAGTAATAGAAATACCACCTAATATCCAACTTTACTATATATTTTACAATACGGTCAGTTCTTTCCTTAACTCTCAGGACAGTTACAATTTCAGTCACCTCAGGAATAAAAAATGGAAGGTGCATTTCAATGACCCCTTCCAAAGTCTGTGAATACTCCCACCAAAATTATCAACCTTCAGAATTCTGTATAAAGTTATTAGTGTTGCTTATAGAAGTGACCAAACCTGAGCTACCTGCACAGAACCATGATAACACAATATAGAGCAGAACATGAACTATAGAACCTTACAGCTTGGAGGCTCTTTCTAAATATCTTAATGGATTCATGTCAGTCACCCTATTCAAAACCCTTTTCCAAACCTCCCCCCACCGTATTTTACAGTTATGGAAACAGGCTCCAACAAGACAAGTGATATGTCACAACAAACCGAGTATCCAAGTCAGGACTAGGCTATCAGAAATCCCATTTTAAGAGGGATTTTTAATATCAAATTCTTCATATTTTTTATCAAGTGCCTCTTCCTATAAATTGCTGAATAGAGAGAGTTGGAGGACCTGGGAAAGGCACTGGGTCTTTGTGAATTTCAGTTAAGCTACATGACATATAACCTAGTTTTTAAGTAAGTCACTGCTCCTGTGGACATGAGCCTGGAGGGACCCTTCCCTTCCCTTACTATTGAAGCACAGTCATCTGCCAAACATTTGCAAAATGCGTATGCATCATCCAACTGAAGTGTTGGTAGGCACTGTGACCATCAGAGTGGGAAGGACTGTTATAAACCAGATATCATCTATCACTACTCAACTCTGCTGTGAAGTTTAATAATGCTGACCACACCTTTCTTTTTAAAGCGGTACATTTTCCTCTACATATGAATCACAATTTATGACTACATAGTTCAGTGGTCTGTCGAATAATGTCTATCTCACCATCTAAACCATGAGCCCAGGATGGCAACAACTTTGTCTGTTTTGCTCACCATTATATTCTCCATGCCTAGTAAATGTTATGTATGCAAGAAATAAATTAGAAGGTGCCTCTCCTCTCTTGGCACCTTCATAACACTGTACTCTTCTAATTTTCCTTCCATATCCCTGACTTTTTCTCCTTTGTAGCCTTCACATAAGGTTCATTGTTCTCTCCCATATCCTAAAAAAAAAAAAAGCATTCTTCAAAGTACCACCCCTGAATCTCTTTTATTCTATTTCAAGTATTGAGAGGCAATGACTCTCAAATCACTCTCTCCTACTGACTTCTTTCCAGAGTTCCAATCCCATATTTTCAAATGTGCTCAGTACCTTTTACTGGGCTACAACAATATTACTACCTGTGTGGCCTCAGGCAAATCAAGTCCCTCACCCTGTCAAGATGGGTTTGCTCATCCACAAAATGAGGGAGTTGCATCTCCTTTGCATATAAAGTCCTAATTTTCCCATCTAGCATTCAGTATGATTGACAGTCAAGCCCTCCATCTATCTTGCCAAACACATCCCACATAAGTATTTCTGCATACACTTTACTCCAACACAACTAGCCTCTGAATAGAATACCTTTCCCATCCCCCAATTCTGCACACTCAAAGTTTGTCTCATCTTCAAAGCTCATTTCAAATGCCACTTCCAGGAAGGTGTCTTTGATCTCCTTAAAGCCCTTTGCTTCTCTCTTATGGGTGTAGATCTCATCTCCTAATACTATAGTTGTTTGTCTATTTCTTCTCTTTCCTACTTGACTGTGTCATCTTGGAGGGCAGAGGCTATTCTTAAATAATCCTGTATCTCCCACATTATCTTTGGTTCATCATAGGCACTTAGTAACCTTATATTGAATAGATTCCATTTAAGCCATGTCAGTTATCCTGCTCAAAGCCCTTTAATCAGTCCCACTCTTTCTAGAATAAAGACCAACAGCCTTATAATGGCCCACTCCAGCAATCCCTTCAAAATAAAATTGAGATACCAAGTAACCCTCTGAAGTAGTCAAGTTGGCTTTCTATCCACTGTAAGAAATTTTTAAAATGGGATGAATCCTGTTTCCCCAATGCAGAAGAAAGCCCAAATTACCTTTCCTTTATTGAATGTATGGCCCCACAACTAATGTCAAATGGTTCATTCATTTATTTAAAAAACATCTGTTAAGCCTCCTACTCTATGTCATATACTAGGCTAATGGCTAACGGTATAATTAACTGAACTGATACAGCCCTTCACCCACTTGGAATATATAACTGAAAGCGTAATTTGTAGAAACTCTAAGGAAATTAAGAGTTTTAAGAAAAAACAAACATTTTATCTGTCACAACACATGAACAATGCAACTTTGTGTAAATGTTAAATTCTTCATTAAAGGAGATATTTAACTGTAGGGTAAAAGATCATGACAGGTGATTTAGAAATTAAAGCTGGGTCTAATTTGGGCCTCTTAAATTAGATGGGCAGGTAGCCTAGACCAGTGCACTCAAAATGTAGCCCGCCAAATCAGTGCCTGTCTGTGAACTTTTATTACCAGGCAGTAAGGACCAAAGTACAGAAGTCAAGAGTAAGCACTTAGAAAATGTTACAGCAATTTGAAAAAATCATTTTATGTCTGTAGAATCTAATAATACAAATGCGGGCTTATCTTTTGTATGTCTTTTCTTTCATTTTCTAGTAATTCATGGTTAATTTATTTTACTAAATTAACAGTCTTCTGTGATGGATTAGGAAACAAACAAACAAATGACAACAAACATTTTCCTTCACTAGGGGAGTTTGACCAGTACTCTACTAGAGCTTTGCTACTTGAAGTGTGGTCAGTGGAACAGCAGTTTCAGGATCACCTAATAGATTGCTAAAATGCAAAATCCGAGGCCCCTGCCATAGACTCTCTGAATCACAATTCGCATTTTAACAAGATTCCCAGGAGATATTTTTACACATTAAAGTTTGAGAAGCACTGGCCTAACGATTTCCGAAGCCTCTCATAACTCTGAAATCTTATAATTTACTTCAGATAGAGAATTTCAGAGTTGAAAGACCCTCAGAGACACAGTCCATCTCAACATCTTACAGATGGAAAAACTGAGGCACATGGAGGGGAAGTCATATGTCCAAGATAATCAGCAAATCATCTGAGCTAGGAATGGAACCCAAATTTGCTAACAGCCAAGTCAGTGTTCCATTCTAGCAACCACATACTCACCCCTTTCCACCCAGTCCCACTGCATTGTATCCCCTCAGTGATGTAATTATTCCTGAGGTGTTTTCTGATAAAACAATATATTCTTCTACCTTCTGCATACTGTATGAACCTTGAACTACCACTATTTCAAATGTGGTACTTTTCTTCATGAAATTAGAAAATTTCATAATTTTCTTTATGAAAATTCCTGCCACTCAAATCTTCCCACACGCCTATTGTCCGGATGCCATATAGACATCCTGGGGGCTTTAGAAGGACTAGTACTAACCAATTTCTGGTCTTTAGGAATATGAAAGCGACCTTCCTTGCTCCCATCAGTCCAGTTGACACCAGATAGCAAGCTCATCCAAGGAAGAGAATATACACTATCAGGGCTGCTCTAGAAAACTCCGTAGGGTCAATTTGTGGCTAACAAAACAAGTGGGCTATTAGGCCATATTAAGAATAGTCTAATATCCAGCATGAAGTAAATGATAATCCTTTACTCTGTGGTCTTATTGGATCCAAGGGTTAAGAGGGAGGCATGATTGCTGTCTTCAACTAACTGAAGAACTATTATTAAGAAAAAGCAAATTTGTTCCAGATAGTCCCAAAGAACCAACGAATATAAGTTACTGGGAAACAGACTTTGGCTTATGATGGGGAATACTTTCTGACAATCAGAGTTGCTCCATGACACAAAGAGCCACCTAATGCACTCTCTGTCACTGCAGGGAGTTCAACTAGAAATCAGTCAACAAATTGGATGCTTAGGATAAATTCAAGAACTGAGTAGAGAAATAAAGCTTAATGAATGACCTTTTGGGCTCCTTCCAGTTCCAAGGTTTTAGTATTCTAAAATTTTCGGCACAGAACAACTCCAAATGCTCAGGAAATAAGAATGAGGTCTGTTTTTAAAAGGTGCAGTTTGGAGCATGTTGGGTGGATGAGGCTATAAAAAGTGAAGTACGATTTTCAAGGAAAGGAAGCTGACCAATCAAAGTCTTTTGGGCAGCCCCTCCAGAAATCCAGGTGAAGCCCGGCTCCAGGCTGAGTTGCTGTTACTCTACACGAAAGCCAGGCCGCTACTTTCCAAAAAACCTTGCCAAGCCACACTGTACCTATTGTATCTACACTTGCCTAACAGACAAAGGTGCAAAATTCTCCCCAAGAAGGCAGTAGTGCTTCATGGTTAAGACCACGGATTCTGGAACCAGGTTGCCAGTTTAATTTCCAACTGAGACATGTAATTGCTCTGTAATCTTGGATAAGTTACTTAACCTCTCTGTGCCTCAATTTTGTGAGTAAACCAAAGATAATAATAGTGTCTGTTATTCAATGCACTATTCTGCTACAGTAATTTAATGAAGTAATACACACCAAACACTCAGCCCAGAATCCAAAATATACTACATACTCGATAATTTTAGCAATTAGTATTAGGGATGTCAGAATTACTACCACAGGCACAGCAGCGTCACTCACTTAGAAAGCTCCCATCAAACAATTGGATCCCTTCCCCTACCAGTTCTGAAGGGCTATACTACAAGAGCCTCAATCAGTCTTTGCAGAGCTCCAGACAACCAGAACTTGCTGACTCTCAATAAGCCAAACTACTCACGTTAGTAATCCTACCTCATCACCCTGCTTTCCATAAATCCAACAGCCACCCTTCCCCCAGTCCTCTTGCCCATGCCACCCGCAGCCACAGCCACAGCCACAGTCAGAGGAGCAACAAACTGGGAGGCCAGTTGCAGACAAACCATCAGGTGTTTCCTCCCTTCCAAGGACACAGCTGGACTTAACATGATGCCTATGAGTGAGATGGGGTGGGGTATCTCAATCTCTGATCTAGGATGTCAGCTCAATTATCTGGAATTGAGGGTGGGCAGGCAATGGAGCTTCTCGCCGGGAAACAAGGCAAACCTCCCAAGTTTGTGGAGGAAGTCAGGCCCAACCCCACAGTGAGCCCCTCAAAGGAAGGGGGGAGGGCTCAATCTGCTTTAAAGGAAGCAGTTATTTACAACTTTCTACTCACTTGCATGTGGGGGAGGTAATGGGGAGATGGGGAAAGAGGCTGCAAGGTACCCTCCTTCTTTCTTATTTCCAGCAGTGAGAAGCAGCTGCGGAGAAAGAGTTAAAGAAGGGAGAAAGCTCCAGCCATTACTACATCCCTGGTGCCTAGAGCTGTCTGGGGGGTCATGACAGTGCTGTCTGCTTTGGCTAGGGGCCACTCCGTGGCTTTCTGCAGCAGCTGCTGGGGCCCCCCAAGCAATTTGCAAGGTCAGTGCTGACCTGCTTCCAAAGAGGAACAAAACAATTCACTGACAATGAAGCAAATCACGCATATACCACATCGCAACCCCCCTTCCTCAAATCGGGTTTTACCCCAGTGTCTCCCTGCTCAGATGCCGCCTCTGGGCTTCCACCAGCCCCACTGGGGAACCCAGGATAGCATCACAGCTGCAGAGCATGCCTCGCCTCCCGGCCAACCCAAGGAGACTCTCAGTACGGGGGAGAGATGCTATCGCTAAAGGAGACCTGAGCTTGGGGGAGGGGGAAGAAGGAACATCAATGTTTCTTACCGAGCTCTACAGTCTGAGCGGAAAGGAGAGAAGGATGAATGAACTGAAACAAGTTGGAGGTTGAGCCCTGACAGAGCTCGGCTTCTGGCTTCTTCTTCTCTCTCTGGGTCTCTCTCCTGGTCCCTCTCTCGGTCTGTCTCTCTGGTTTGCTCGCTAGCTTGCGCGCGCTCACGCTCTCTCGCTCTCTCTCTCTCTCTCTCTCTCTCTCTCTCTCTCTCTCAATCTGCCTCCCTCCCTCTCTGTCAGTTTCTCCCTCCCCTCCTCCCCTCCCCTTCTCCCCTCCCCCTTTGCTGGCTTTAGGTTCACCACTGGTGCTTAGCACGCGGCTGTGCTGGGGCTCTGAATACAGTACTGCAAGGCTTTAGATGTGGTTGTTTTACGAAATACTAAAGTAGTATTTTATTCCTTAAGGCATCCAACAGAGAAATAGAGGGAAGCCCAGAGAGAAAGGGAGGAGCAGAGGCAGCAAAGGGAAGAGAAAGAGAGCAAAAGGGTATGAGCGAATAGGAGGATAAAGGAAGTATGGGTTACTGTAGCTGATGTGTGATGCTTACTTGCTGCTCCGAGACTGAAGAGTGAGCTTCCTCCTTTTTCCCTCTGTCTCCCTTATATCCTTATGGGCGTGCCTTCTAACCCAGGCTGCAAATAAAGGTTTGACAATCCTGTCTGTTCAGATTCCATCTCTGGGGACAATAATGAGCTAGAAAAATGTACATCAAAGGGGTTGTCATTCATACTCCACTAAGAAGAAAGAGTTCCGCCACATTGATCCCCTGTTGACCTAACTTCCACCCCCACCCTCAACCAAGTAGAAGTGCAGACCCAATTCAAAACTATCAGTTCTAGCTTCCCTGTAGGTAAGACAGACAAGCAGCAGAACCACAATGCTTTCTTTTCAAAAATTCCAAAGGGAATATAGATGTATGTAATTGTGTGAGCCTATACATGAGTTGCACAAGGACTAAGGTGGGGAGAAGGATAATTATTGACTCAAAGTATAAAAGAACTATATTCCCATTGGGTCAAAAGAAAAAAAGCAACCTAGGCAAAGCACAGTAACAATGCAGCATAGAGTGGAAAAAGACCTAGGCTAAAAATAAAATAAAGGAACTTGAGTTTGAGTTCTGCCTCTGAAAATTGCTGTGTTGCTTTCAACGAGTTCTTCAATCTGGCCCTCAATATCCTCAGTGACCAAATGAATGGTAATGGAAATAGATGATCTTAAAAGACCCTTCCAGAACTAACAGTCTAGGAATCTAAAGACAGGAAAATTCCAGGTAAAGGAGAAGTTGGCCCTTAGAAAATAAAAACTAAACTGCCACATTTCAAAAGTTCTCCAAAGGTGAGTCCCCAAATGCGACTCCAAATCACATTGATTCAACATTCCATCTTTTGTGTTTCAGGGATAATACCAATATAAGCACGTGAATAAAGAGCTGTTCCTATCAAAGAATTCAGCATCTGCTTACATATAATGATTAGTATAAAAGTTTTCTTAGTCAAACTCTTCATATTGTGATTTCTAGTCCTGTTAGAAAAATTCAGAGGGCATCTAATTGAAAGTGAGTTATATAGTGTGTTTAAGTATACTAGTGTCAATATACATACAGTGACTGGGACATAATAGGCATTTACAATGTTGCCCATAGTGTGCCATTTCTCTTTAAACTACCATCCTGTTGGTTTTTTTCCCCCAAATTTCTAATGCTCTCTACTCCTGCCAAATGAAGTACATGTGCTACACTCCTATACATCTTCAAAAGCATGTGTCCATACATTGAGTAGAAGATAGATAGGTACTCGTAAGCTTAGAGTCACTGAGCTAAAGGGACCCATAAAGATAACCATGTCATTGTACAGAAAAAGAAACTAGACTAAATAGAAAATATAATTCACACAAGGTCATAGTGAGTCAGTGGCAGAATCAAGGCCAGTACTCAGATTGCTGACTGCAGGTACAGTATTTTTCTCTACAAAATTAACATGTAACTTGCACATAAAGCAAGTGTGTATGTGAGCATAAAGCTATAAATACTTTTTCCTGCATAGGTACCCATTTTCATGTGTAGATTTGTTTGCATAAATGTCCATTGGATTTAATAGATTAGTATACTGGCAAAAAGAAATATTAAGGTTGCTGTATTAGTTTTCTAGGGCTGCCATAACAAATTACCATAAATTCAGTAGCTTAAAACAACAGAAATTTATTGTCTCACAGTTCTGAAGGTCAGAAGTCTAAAATCGAGATGCTGGCAGGGTCAAACTACTCCAAAAGTTCTAGAGAATGATTTCTTGTCTCTTCCAGCTTCTGGTGGTTTCCAGTGTTCCTTGGCTTATCACTGAATCTCTGCCTCGGTCTTCAAATGGTCTTCTCCTCTGATTTCTGTGTGCCCAAATCTCCCTCTTTTTTCTTATAAAGACACCAGTCATTGGATTTAAGGCCCAACCTAAATCCGGAATGATTTCATCTCAAGATCTTTAACTACTTCCTTTTGCAAATACCATACCATTGAAATGAGGTCACACCCTGAGGTTATAGACGAACATGAATTTTGGGGGACACTATTCAGTCTACTACAATTGAAAACTTTTCATCTAATAAAGATACCAAACAAACAAATAAACCATCTGGGTGCCACCATTTATTTTAAAGAAAAGATATTTTAATATAAATAAGTTGGATTAAGACACTCTCTGAACAAAAAAACTCTTCTCTGAATCATACAATTATACCTGTATGAAAACTTCACAGCATTTTCATAATTTTCCCACTTGACTGCAAACCAAAAACAAACAAACAACAACAACAACAAAAAAAACAGAATCCTTTATTAGGAAAACTTCTGGCAATGGTGAAGAAGCTTCTATCAGACCAACCCTGATGCAGATAACAATAATAAACAGTGGACCAAATATATAATAAAACAATTTAAATGCACAGGAAAGCAACCCATAAACAGGCAAAAATTGAAAGGGAATTAATAATTGAAAGGAGGGAACAATACTAAGTGAGTTTTTCCTTTTCTGGAAATTTTTGTCTGATGGCAGCCCCCAGGCCAAAGCAGTGAATAAACTCTAGAGAAACTAGAATCAATGTTGCAACTGTTAAATGTTTAACAACTGGATCTTGAGGAAAATTAATAAAAAACAAATTCATAGTATTTGCCAATTTCAATGGTGTAAATACTTCTACCACGGACCATTCCATGAACATGGAGTTGAATAGAGATATGCACAGTAGGCATTCACAAACCAGTGTTAGCCAGCTCCCACACACAACTGCTCACAGTCCAAGTGTCTGAAAGAACCAGACGGCAGAATTCAGGATGACCACGGTAGTTGAAAAGCCATGAGAGAAATTCAATAATTTAAAAAACTAGGGAGAGGAAGCCCCAAATTCTGTGTATAAACTACCCAGCTGTCTGGTGAAACCATGAAATATTTATGTGGGAACAGATTCCAAAAAGCCTAAATAAAGCTGAAAGAATTAAACAGAGTTTTCAGTGCTGCCAATGAGGGAGAGTTTGGAGTTTCACTTCAGCCCCATTAACTGTCTACTAAAACAAACAAAATCAATGCTCTAGAGAAAAAAATAAAGGTATCCTACAATATATAATTCACTATTTTCAGGGTACACTCAAAAATTACTACCAAAGCAAAGATATAGGAAAATATTACTCATATCCAAGGAAAAAATAATAATAGAGACCAGCCCTAAGGTAAACCAGATGTTTGAATTAGGAGAAAGAATTTTAAATCACATATCATAATTACACTAAGGGAAATAAAGAAAAACACATGTGTAATAAATGAACAAATAGGAAGTCAGAATATCTGAAGTAAAATTCAGTGAGTTGGTGTTTAATGGCAGGTTGAAAATGGCAGAAGAAAGAGTAGTTTCACTGGAAGAAAAATCTAGTGATATTATCTAATCTGAAGTACAGATTAGAGAGAGAAAGATTGAAGAGGATGAGCAGAGTGTTAGAAATACATAGGATAATATCAAAGTTATAAACATAATTGGAGTCCCAGATGGCAAACAATAAGAGAAGAGGAAGAAAAAACATTTGAAACAAAAGCCTAACCACAAGACAATATCCCTGATAATTATTGATGGAAAAATCCTCAACAAAACATTAGCAAACCAAATTCAGCAATACACTAAAAAGATCATTCATCATGACCAAGTGGGATTTATCCCTGGGATGCAAGGATGGTTCAACATACACAAATCAATCAAAGGGATACATCATATCAACAGAATGAAGAACAAAAATCATATGATCATTTCAATAGATGCTGAGAAAACATTTGATAAAATTCAACATCCCTTCATGACAAAAATCTTAAAAACTGGGTGTAGAAGGAACATACCTCAACATAATAAAAACCATATACAGCAGACCCACAGCTAATATGATACTGAATGGGGAAAAACTGAAAGCCTTTCCTCTAAGATCTGGGACACAACAAGGATGCTCACATTCACCACTGTTATTCAACATAGTACTGGATGACTTAGCTAGAGCAATCAGACAAAAGAAAGATATAAAGGGCATCCACATTGGAAAGGAGGAAGTCAAATTATCTTTCCTTGCAGACATGATCTTATATTTGGAAAAACCTAAAGACTCCACAAGCACAGGAAATCAAAGCAAAAATGGACAAATGGGATCACATCAAATTACAAAGCTTTTGCCCAGAAAAGGAAGCAATCAATAATGTGAAAGGACAACCCACAGAATGGGAGAAAATATTTGTAAACTACCCATCTGATAAGGGATTAGTAACTAGAATATATAAGGAGCTAACACAACTCTATAGAAAAAAATCTAAAAATCTGATTCAAAAATGGGCAAAAAAAAACTGGATAGACTTTTCTCACAATAAAACATACAAATGGCAAACAGGCATATGAAAAGGTGCAGAACAACACTAGTCATCAGGGAAATGCAAATCAAAACTACAATGAGATACAATCTCACCTCAGTTAAAATGGCCTATATCCAAAGGATAGGCAATAACAAATGCAGGCAAGGATGTGGAGAAAAGGGAATCTTTGTACACTGTTGGTGGGAATGTAAATTAGTACAACCACTATGGAAAACGGTTTGGAGGTTCCTCAAAAAACTAAAAATACAGCTACCTCATATGGTATCCAGCAATCTCACTGCTAGGTTTATACCCAAAAGGAAGGATATCAGTATATCAAAGAGATATCTTCACTCCCTGGTACTGCAGCACTATTCACAGTAGCATAGATTTAGAAGGTACCTAAGTGTTCATCAGCAAATGAATAGATAAAGAAAATGTGGTACATATACACAATGGAATACTATTCAGGCATAAAAAAGAATGAGATCCTGTAATTTGCAAAAACATGGATTAAACTGGAGGTCATTGTGTTAAGTGAAATAAGCCAGGCACAGAAGATAAACTTTGCATATTCTCACTTATTTGTGGGAGCTGAAAATCAAAGAATTGAACCCATGGAGATACAGTGTAGAAGGATGATTACCAGAGGCTGGGAAGGGTAGTGGGGAGGGATGGTTAATGGGTAGAAAAAATAGAATGAATGAATAAGGCCTAGTATATAATAGCACAACAGGGAGGCTATAATCAATAACAATTTAATTATACATCTAGAAATGACTAAAATAGTATAATCGGATTATTTGTGAGACAAAGGATAAATGCTTGAGGGGATGAATACCTCATTTTGTATGATATGATTATTATGCATTGCATGCCTGTATCAAAACATCTCATGTACCCATAAATATACCTACTACATACCCACAAAAATAAAAATTATTTTAAAAAGAATGGCTGTATATTTGCAAATATGATGAAAAACCATCAAATTGAATATATTAAATATGTGCAGGTTTGTGTATATCAACTATAACTCAATAAAGCTGTTTGAAAAAAAAACAAATATAATAAAACACATACATTTACAGATTCAACAAGCTCAATAAATTCCAAGCAGGATACCACACTCAGGCATATCATAGTCAAACTATTGAAAAACAAATTTAAATAGAAAACTTTGAAAGCATTAGGGAGAAAAAATGCCTACTGAGGAACAGAATAAAACTGACCTGTGACCTTTCTTTCTTTCTTTCTTTTTTCTGAGACGGAGTCTCGCTCTGTCTCCCAGGCTGGAGTGCAGTGGCGCCATCTTGGCTCATTGTGCAATCTCCGCCTCCCGGGTTCACGCCATTCTCCCGCCTCAGCCTCCAGAGTAGCTGGGACTACAGGCGCCCGCCACCACGCCCGGTTAGTTTTTTGTATTTTTAGTAGAGACGGGGCTTCACCGTGTTAGCCAGGATGGTCTCAGTCTCCTGACTTCGTGATCCGCCCGTCTCGGCCTTCCAAAGTGCAGGGATTACAGGCGTGAGCCACCGCACCCGGCCAACCTGTGACCTTTCATAAGAAAAAAAGACATCTTTAAAGTGCTGAATTTTTTAAAAACTCTATCAATACAGAATTTTACATTTATCAAAAATATCCCTTATTAATAAAGGCAAATACTGACATTTTCATTTAAGTGAACATTAGGACAATTTGTTATCAGCATGTTCATACGATAAGAAATACTAAAGGAAATTGTTGAGTCTGAAGGAAAGTGATACCAGATGAAAAGCTGGATCTTTAGGAAGGAATAAATAGCATCAGGAATGGTAATATGTGGATAAACATAAAATAATATTTTGCTCTTTATTTGATATACATATGAGAATACAAAAGAAAAATCATAACATTATAATGTGCAGTGTGTAGTATACATAGACATGATGTGCATGAAAACTATAATATGAAAGAGGGCATAGCGGCAAACCAAACTAGACATTGACAAGGTCCTTAAATTTTATGTGAGGCAATACAATATTAAATTGTAGTATACTTTGAAAAGATAAAGATGCATGGAGGAGTGGAGTGGAGATGCATGGAGGAGCAAGATGGAATAATAAGCCCCAGCCCCAACCCTCATTTCCTTACAGAAACACCTATTTAACAAAAATATATTAATCAAAATACCTCCAAGAGATGTCCAGAATCCAGTTAAGATGTTGAATACCCCAGATGAGCACAAAACACTAGAACAGGCCCACTGAAACAGTAAAAAAGAGCAATTTCATTTTACCTGTGTCATTCCTTCCCCCAAACCAGCAAAATTTGGCACCAAGTGAGATCATCTTGGCCCATGATTTCTCTCTCAGGAGAAAGGGAGAGTGGAGCACGCATCTAATATTTCAGGTCTGTCATTTCACTGCCTTAGGAACTAGTGTCTTATGGTGGTTGCCAGAGGCTAGGAGCAGGAAGGAATGGGGACTTACTGTTTACGGTGTATGAAGTTTCCATTTTACAAGATGAAAAGAATGATGGAACTAGATGGTGGTGATGGTTGCACAACATTATAAATGCATGTAATACCACTGAACTGTACACTTAAAAATGGTTAAGATGGTAAGTTATATAATATGTATATTTTATCACAATAAAACATTTGGAAAAACATTGAAGGAGAGATAACAAACAAAAGCTGAGGGACTCCATAAGCACTAGACCTGTCTTATAAGAAATGTTAAAGGGAGTTTCTCAAGTTGCAATGAAAAGATGCTAAGCAGCAACACAAAAGCGTATAAAAGTCTAAAACTCACTGGCAAGCCTGAATATTTAGAAAGATACAGAATACTGCAATATTGTAATGATTGGGTTTAAATCACTTTTGGTATAAAAGTTAAAAAATAAAAGTATTTTTATTTTTTATTATTTTTATTTTGTTTTATTTTAAAAATAAAAATAATTAAAAATTTTAACTATTTTTAAAATAAAAATAATAAATACAAAAGTGAGTTAGTGGCTACACAATACAAAAGATGTAAACTGTGATATCAATGACATAAAGTGGGGAGGGGAGAATTCAAAATGCAGAGTTTTGTATGCAATTGCTGTTAAGTTGTTATCAGCATAAAATGAACCATTATAACCGGAGGATATTTTATGTGAACCTCATGATAACCTCAAATAAAAGTATCTATTGAAAACACACAAAAGAAAAAGAGAAGAGAATCTAAGGATATCACTATTTTAAAAAATCAATTTAAAAAACCGACAAGAAGAATAAACAAAAGGAACAATAATAAAACAAGATAGAAAACAATAATAAAATGGCAATAGTAAGTTCATCCCTATTGTATTAGTCCGTTTTCATGCTGCTGATAAAGACATACCCGAGACTGGGAAGAAAAAGGGGTTTAATTGGACTTACAGTTCCTCATGGCTGGGGAGGCCTCAGAAACATGGGGGCCAGTCTTTCCTGTGCTATTCTCGTAATAGTGAATAAAGCTCATGAGATCTGATGCAGCAAAAGCAGTACTAACAGAAAAGTGAATAGCAATAAACGCTTACATTTAAAAAGAAAAAAAAAGATCATAAATAAACAATCTAACTTTAGAAATAATAAAGATTGGGGCAAAATTAAATGAAGAAAATAGAAAAACAAAATTTAAAAAATCAGTGAAACTAACAGTTGCATCTTTTTGAAAAGATCAATGAAATCGACAAAACATTAACTGAAATAACTAAGAAACAAAGAGAAAATAAAGGAGGAGACATTACAAATAGTATCACAGAAATACAAAGGCTCAGAAGAGACTACTATGAACAATTATACACCAATAAATAGAACAACCTAGGAGAAATGACTAATTTCCTAGAACCATAACATGTACTAAAACTGAATCATAAAGAAATAGAAAACATGAACAGAAAATTAACAAGAGGATTGAATTAGTTATCAAAAACAATCCAACACAGTAAAGCCCAGGACCTGATGGCTTCACTGATGAATTCTACCAAATATACATATATACGTATATATGTGTGTGTGTATATGTGTGTGTGTGTGTATATATATACATTTTTTTCTTTTTTGAGACAGAGTGTCACTCTGTCACCCAGGCTTGAGTGCAGTGGTGCAATCTCGGCTCACTGCAACCTCCACCTCCTGAGGATCAAGCGATTCTCCTGCCTCAGCCTCCCAAGTAGCTGGGACTACAGGCGTGTGCCACCACGCCCGGCTAATCTTTTGTATTTTTTTTAGCAGAGATGGGGTTTCACCGTGTAGCCAGGATGGTCTAGATCTCCTGACCTCGTGGTCTGCCCGTCTCAGCCTCCCAAAGTGCTGGGATTACAGGCGTGAGCCACAGCACCCGGCCAGAATTCTACCAAATACTTAAAGAATTAATACTAATCCTTCTCAGACTGTTCCAAAAAGCAGAGGAAATACTTCCAAACTGCTTTTACAAGGCCAGTAGTGCCCTGATACCAAAGCCACAAAAGAACACTACAAGAAAAGAAAATTATAGGAAATGACCCCTGATGAATATAGATGTGAAAATCTTCAACAAAATATGAGAACCTGAATTAAACAGCACATTAAAAGGATCATACAGGCTGGGCACGGTGACTCAGGCCTGTAATCCCAGCACTTTGGGAGGCCAAGGCAGGTGGATCACCTGAGGTCAGGAGTTCAAGGCCAGCCTGACCAATATGGTGAAACCCCATCTCTACTAAAAATACATAAATCAGCCAGGCATGGTGGTGTGCGACTGTAGTCCCAGCTACTCAGGATGCTGAGACAGGAGACTTGCTTGAACCCTGGAGGTGGAGAGTGCAGTGAGCTGAGATTACACCACTGCACTCCAGCCTGGGTGACAGAGTGAGAATCAATCTCAAAAAAAAAAAAAAATATATATATATATATATATATATACACACACACACACAAATTTGTTTAAGTTCCTTGTACATTCTGGATATTAGACCTTTGTCAGATGGATAGATTGCAAAAATTTTCTCCCATTCTTTAGGTTGTCTGTTCACTCTTATGATAGTTTCTTTTGCTATGCAGAAGCTCTTTAGTTTAATTAAATCCCATTCGTCAATTTTTGCTTTTGTTGCAATTGCTTTTGGCGATTTCATCATAAAATCTTTGCCCGTTAAAAAGTGGGCAAAGTACATGAACAGACACTTTTCAAAGAAAGACATACAGGCTGCCAACAAACATATGAAAAAAAGCTCAACATCATTGGTCATTAGAGAAATTCAAATCAAAACCACAATGAGATACTATCCCACGCCAGTCAGAATGATGATTGTTAAAAAGTCAAGAAACAACAGGTGCTGGCAAGGTTATGGAGAAATAGCAACACTTTTACACTGATGGTGAGAATGTAAATTGGTCCATCCATTGTGGGAGACAGTGTGATGAATCCTCAAAGATCTAGAGGCAGAAAACCATTTAACCCAGCAATCCCATTACTGGGTATATACCCAAAGGAATATAAATCATTCTGTTATAAACATATATGCACATGTATGTTCATTGCAGCACTACTCACAATAGCAAAGACATGGAATCATCCCAAATGCCCATCAGTGATAGACTGGATAAAGAAAATGTGGTACGTATACACCATGGAGTACTATGCAGCCATAAAAAGGAATGAGATCATGTCCTTTGCAGGGACATGGATGATGCTGGAAGCCATTATCCTCAGCAAACTAACACAGAAACAGAAAACCAAACACTGCATGGTCTCACTTATAAGTGGGATTTGAACAATGAGAACACATGGACACAGGGAGGGGAACAACACACACTGGAGCCTGTCAGGGGAGGGTGGGGGTGGGGAGAGCATTAGGGAAAAGATCTCATGCATGCTGGGCTTAATATCTAGGTGATGGGTTGATAGGTGCAGCAAACCACCATGGCATATGTTTACCTATGTAACAAGCCAGCACATCCTGCACATATACCCCAGAACTTAAAAAAAAAATTAAAAAGGATCATACAGCATGACCAAGTATTATTTATTTTTGAGATAAAAAGCTGGCTCAATATATGGAAATTACTAAATGTGATACACCATATTAACAGAATAAAAGATAAAAATCACGATTGTTTCAACAGATGCAAAAAGTTTGATAAAATTCAACACAACTTTTTTATTATTAGTATACTTTAAGTTCTGGGATACATGTGCAGAACGTGCAGATTTGTTACATAGGTATACACGTGCCATGGTGGTTTGCTGCACCCATCAACCCGTCATCTACATTAGGTATTTCTCCCAATGCTATCCCTCCCCTAGTCCCCCACCCCCTGAGAGGCCCGGATGTGTGATGTTCCCCTCCCTGTGTCCATGTGTTCTCATTGTTAAACTCCCACTTATGAGTGAGAACATGTGATGATTGGTTTTCTGTTCCTGTATTAGTTTGCTGAGAATGATGGTTTCTCTCAACTAATTAGGTATACAAGGAATATACCTCAAAATAAATAAGGTCATATATGATAAGCCCACAGCTAACATCATACTCAATGGTGAAAAACTGAAAGCTTTTCCTTTAAGATGAGCAATAACACAAGGTTTACCCTTCTTCCCACTTCCACATGTCACAGGACTAGAACCCCTAGTCAGGAAAATTAGACAAGAAAAAGAAATAAAATACATCCAATCAAGAAGTAAGAAGTAAAATTATCTCTGTTTGCAGATGACATATAGAAAATTTAAGGACCAAAAACAAAAAAACTGTTGGAAATAATACATGAATTCAGTAAAGTGGCAGGATACAAAATCTATATACAAAAATTACTTGCATTTCTATACATTAACAATAAATTAACCTAAAATGAAATTAATAAAACAATCCCATTTACAATAGCATCTAAAACTTCAATACTTGAGAATAAACATAACTAGGGAGGAGAAAGATTTGTATGATGAAAAGTATAAGACACTGATAAAAAATAAGGATGACACATGTAAATGTAAAGACATGTTGAGTTCATCATTTGGAATAATTAATATTGATAATATGTCCATACCACCAAAGCAATCTACAGATTCAATACTATCCCCATGAAAATTTCATTTTTTTTCAGAAATAGAAAAAACACTTCTAAAACTTACACGGCACCATAAAGACCCCAAGTAGACAAAATACTCATGAGCAAGAAGAACAAAACAAAAGTCATCACACTTCATTATTTCAAGCTGTAATACAAAGCTGCATTAATTAAAACAGTACGGTATTAGCATAAATGCAGGCATGTAGACCAATGGAACAAAATAGAGCACCTAACCTTAACCCACACATATATGCTCAAGTGATCTTCTACAATAGTGGCAAAAATACACAATGGGGAAAAATAGTCCCTTTAACAACTAGCATTGGAAAAAGTGGATATCCACATGCAACAAGATAAAATTGGACTCTTATACCATACACAAAAATTAACTCAAACTGGATTAAAGTTTTAATCATAATATCGGAAACTGCAAAACTCCTAAAAGAAAACATGGAGGAAAAGCTTTTGACTTTGTTCTTGGCAATGATTTCTTGGATATGACACCAAAAGTATAGGTAACTGAAGCAAAAATACATAGGTGGGACTACATAAAACTGAAAAGCTTCTTCACAGAAAGGAAAACAATTAACAGAGTAAAGAGACAACTTACAGAATGGAAATAGGAAATACAGTTGCAAACCATACATTGGATAAAGGGTTAATATCTGAAATATATAAGGAACTCAAACAACTGAGTAGCAAGAAAATGACCCAATTTAAAAATGGGCAAAAAACCTGAATAGACATTTCTCAAAAGAAGATATACAAATGTATAACAGGTGTATTTAAAAATGGTGATTCCTCAAGGATCTAGAACCAGAAATACCATTTGACCCAGCAATCCCATTACTGGGTATATACCCAAAGGATTATAATCATTCTACTATAAAGACACATGCACACGTATGTTTATTGCAGCACTGTTCACAATAGCAAAGACTTGGTACCAACCCAAATGCCCATCAATGATAGACTGGATAAAGAAAATGTGGCACATATACACCATGGAATACTATGCAGCCATTAAAAAGGATGAGTTCATGTCCTTTGCAGGGACATGGATGAAGCTGGAAACCATCACTCTCAGCAAACTAACACAGGAACAGAAAACCAAACACTGCATGCTCTCACTCATAAGTGGGAGCTGAACAATGAGAACACATGGATGCAGGGAGGGGAACATCATGCACCAGGGCCTGTCGGTAAGTGGGGGGCGAGGGGAGAGATAGCATTAGGAGAAATACCTAATGTAGATGATGGGTTGAATGGGTGCAGCAAACCACAATGGCACATATATACCTATGTGACAAACCTGCACGTTCTGCACATGTATCCCAGAACTTTAAGTATAATAAATAAAACAAAATAAAATAAAATAAAATTAAATTAAAAATGGTCAACACCTCTAATCATCAGAGAAATACCAATCAAAACCACAATGAGATATCACATCAAATCTGTTAGGAAGGCTATTACCAAAACAAAAAAAGATAAAAAGTGTTGGGTGCCCTTGAGCATTGTTGGTGGGAATGTAAATTGGTACGGTCATTGTGGAATACACTAGGGAAATTCCTCAAAAATTAGAAATAGAACTACCATACGATCCAGTAATCCCATCTTTGGGTACGTATCAGAAGGAGAGAGTAAAATGATGTTTGCCAGGGCCTGGGGGGAAAGGGAAAATTGGTAGTTCACTGGGTATGAAGTTTCAGTTCTGCAAGATAAATAAGTTCAAGAGATCTGCTATACAACATAGTGCCTATAGTTAACAACACTGTATTGTGCACTTAAAAATTTTGTTGAGTGGGTAGATCTCATGTTAAATGTTCTTACCTACCTCTCACCCACCAAAAAGAAGGAAGTAAATTTAAGGATACCTGTAGAATCACTGGAGCAGTCACTAAAAAATAATGCAAAGTGAGCTGGCTGGAAGCAATAGATAAATTAAAATGCAATTCTAAAACAATATCTAATTAACCCAAGTTAACACAGGAAAAGAGTAAAAGGAAACAAGAAATTGATTCTCCAAATAGAAAATGAATATTAAATGATAGATCTGAGTAAATGATCCAACCATATCAATAATTATATTAAATGTAAATCTATCAAATACTCCAACTAAAGGATATAAATTATCAATATGGAATAAAAAATGCAAGACCAAACTATATGCTATCTATTTGCACTTTATATTTAAGACAGGTAGGTTGGAAGTAAAAGGGTTGAAAAAAATACTATGCCAGCAATAAGCATAAAAACGCTGAGGAAGCGTAAAGTCAGCAAGACGGCAGACTACCTTTCAGCACTTATCCCCTCTCAGAACATCAATTTGAATAACAATACATACATGAAAATATCTTTATAAATCCTAAGGAATCCAAATGATAGATTACAGAACCTGGGTGGAGCACAGAAATAAGAAAAGATGCATAGATGAGGGTAATAAGAACAGTTTTACATTACTCCATCACCCCTTCCCCATGTGTGTATAGTGCAGTTTGGATATACCCTCAATATGTGGGAAGGAGACTGAAGTGAGCACATGACTTCACTGCAGACCCCAGCACCAGGACCACCCCAGTGTTCCTGGGCACCAGGTCAACCCTTACAAACCCAGACTTCAGGCCCTCCCGACTGCCACATGTACCCAGTCTCCAGAAAGATCTCCACAACCTAGGCTCCAGGCACACTCCAGTGCCAGACCTGCCTCCATGGCCCCAGGCTCCAGGCCCACTGATGAGAACTAATAAGCCAATGTAGTAAAGTTGCAGGAAACAAATTCAACAGGAAAAAGCAGTTAATAGTTCTACAGAGTAACAACAAACTATCTGAAAAAGAAATTAAGAAAATAATCCCATTTATAATAGCAAAAAAAATACTTAGGTGTAAATTTAACTAAGGAGGTGAAATATCTGGACACTGAAAATTATCAAACATTGATGAAAAAATTAAAGAAGACAAAATAAATGGAAATATATCACATGCTCATTATTTGGAAGAATTAATATTTTAAAATTTTCCATACATTCAAAGTGATCTACAGATTCAATGCAATTCCTATCAAAATTCCAATGCCTTTTTTTTAAAGAAATAGAAAAAAATCCTAAAATTTGTATAAAAGCACAAAAGACCCTGAATAGCCAAAGCAATCTTGAGGAAGAAGAACAAAACTGGAGTCATCACACTACCTGATTTCAAAACATACCAAAAAGCTATAGTAATCAAAACAGAATGGTACTGGCCTAAAAGTAGACAAATAGACCAAAGGAACAGAATAGAGAGATCAGCGATAAATCTGCACATTTATAGTCAATTGATCTTTGACAAAGCAGCCAAGAACACACAATGGGGAAAGGATATTCTCTTCAATAAATGGTGCTTGGAAAACTGGACCTCCACTTGTAGAAGAATAAAATTGGACACTTATCTTACACCATATGCAAAAATAGACTCAAAATAGAATATAGACTTAAATGTAATACCCGAAACTGTAATATTCCTAGAAGAAAACATAGGAAAAAATTTTCTTGACAGTGTTCCAGGCAATACTCTCTTGGATATTACCTCAAAAGGACACAACCCAAAAGCGAAAATAGACAAATGAGGCTACATGAAATAAAAAAAGCTTCTGCATAGCAAATCAAATTATCAGCAGAATAAAAAGACTATGGAATGGAAGAAAATGTTTTTAAACCACATTTCTGAGATGGGGTTAATATTTAAAATGTATTAGGAATTTAAACAACTCAATAGCAAGAAAACAAATAACATAATTAAAAATGGGCAAAGGACATTTCTCAAAAAAACACATACAAATTGCCAATAGGTGTAATAAAGTATGTTCAACACCACCAATTATCAGGGAAATGCAAATCAAAACCACAATAAGATATCACCACACCTGTTAGGATGGCAATTATCACAATGACAAAAAAAAAAGAGTTGGTAAAGGTGTGGAGAAAAGGGCACCCTTGTACACTGTTGATGAGAATGTAAATGGGCAGTTTCATTGTGGAATACAGTATGGAGTTCCTGAAAAGCTAAAAATAGAACTACTATATGATCCAGTAGTCCCACCTCTGGGTATATAACCAAAGGAAATGAAATCAGAATCTGGAAGAGATGTCTTCATTCTTATGTTCATTTGAGAATTATTAACAATAGCCAATATATGGAAGCAAACTGAGTGTCCATCAATGGATGAATAAAGAAAATGTGGTGTACATATATATAGTGTTCATTTATATATGATTATATATTATATACACATGTGTATATATTGTATATGTATATATACACACACATATATAATGGCACTATTCAGTTTTTTAAAAAGAAAATCCTCTCGATTGCAACAACATGTATGAACCTGGAGGACGTTATGTTAAATGAAATAACCTAGGGACAAAAAGACACATACTGCCTGATGTCACTTACGTGTGGAATCTAAAAAGTCAAACTCGTAGAACCAGACAGAAGGATGGTGGTTGCCAGGATACGGGTGAGGGAAAATGGGGCGACATTGGTCAAAGAGTACAAAGTTTCAGTTATGCAAGATGAACAAGTTCTGGGGATCTAATGTATGGCATGGTGACTGTAGTTAATAGTACTATATATGTACTCAAAATTAACTGAGAGTAGACTTTAAATATTTTCACCTCAAAAAAATTGTAACTATGTGAGCTAATGGATACGTTAATTAGCTTTATTGTGGTAATCATTTCACAATGTATACATATATCAAAACATCACATGGTGAAATTTAAACATATATAATTTTTGTCATTTATACCTCAATAAAGCTGGAAAAATAAATGAGCTAATACACAGGGACTGGGGAGAGGGAAGAGTTACAGGCAGAGAACAGAGGAATTTTAGAGCAGTGCAACTACTCTGTATAATACCATAATGGTGGATACATAGCATTACACATTTCTGTCCAAATTCATAGAATGCACAATATCAAGAGTAAATCCTGTCTGGGTACAGTGGCTCACAGCACTTTGGGAGGCTGACGCTGGTGGATTGCTTGAGCCCAGGAGTTCAAGACCAGTCTGAGAAACATGGCAAAACCCCATATCCACAAAAATGAGCCGGGCACGGTGGCCCGTACCTGTAGTCTCAGATACTCAGGAGGCTGAGCTGGGAGGATCACTTGATCCTGGGAAGCAGATGCTGCAGTGAGCCGAGATCTTGCCACTGCACTCCAGCCTGGGTGACAGAGCCAGATCCTGTAAACAAGCAAACAAACAAACAAAAACACACAGAGTAAATCCTAACGTAAATTATGGACTTGAGGTGATAATGATGTGTCAATGTAGGTTTATCAATTGTAAGGAAGGTATCACTTAGATGGCAGATGTTGATAATCAAGAAAGTTTTGCATGTGAGGAGGCAGAGGGTATATAGGAACTCCGTACCTTCTGCTCAATATTACTGTGACCCTAAAACTTCTCTAAAAAATAAAGACTATTTTTAAAAGTCTGGATTTGCTACATGGATATCAAAGAGAGCAGGCTTCAAAACAAAGTCTTAACAGACTTATTTATTGCTAGATATATAAAAAGTGATTTCATAATAATAAAATATTTAATTCATGAAGACGACAAAATAATCAAATGTGATGAATAACAGAGCTTCAAAATAGAAAATGCAAAATTTGACAAAATTAGAGAGAAAAAATCCACAGGCCGAAGTGCAAATTTTAGTATGTCTTTCTCAGGAAATGATAGAAGAACTGATCAAAAGAAAACAGTAACAGAAACACTATAGTGATCAACACTCTCAGCAAATTTGAACTTACTGGAATTTATAAAATAGTACACTAGCAGCTACAAGATATACATTATTTTTTAGAATTATGGCATATCAAATATGAAAGAATATTACTGGGCCAAAAAGTAATTCTCAAGATTAGTCAAAATACTGAAATCCTACAGAGTATGTTAACTGATAACAATTCAATGAAATATTGTTTTTGTCCAAGAGAAATGAAAGCATAAGTTCACAAAAAGTTTCATACAATACACGATGAAATACTATTCAACCTTAAAAAAAATGAGAAAATCCTGTCATTTATGACAACATGAATGAACCTGAAGGACATAATACTACGTGAAATAAGCTGGCCACATAAAGACAAAAGCTGCATGATCTCACTTATATGTAAAATCTAAAAATGTCAGCCTCATTGGAGCACAGAATAGAATGGTGGTTACCAGAGGCTACAGAGTGAAGGGGGGATAGCAAAAGTGAAGATGTTGGCCAAAGGATACAAAGCTTCAGTTAGAAAGGAAGAATAAATTTTAGTGATCTATTGCACAACATGATAACCATAGTTGATAATAATGTATTCTATATTTTTTGACTGCTAAAAGTGGATTTTAAAATTCTCACCTCATTAAAAATAAGTGAGGTGATGAATACGTTAATTAGCTTGATTTTCTATTTCTACAATTGTTGCATATATGAAAGTGTCATACTGTACCCCATAAAGACATACAATTATTTGTCAACTTGAGATTTTAAATGGGGAAGTAAAGAAAATAAATGTATGAAAACATATTGAAAACTAAAAAATGATTATATTGGTCAAATAATAAACACTTAGAAAGTACAAAATTTTTAAAATCCATAATTACACTTATAATTGTACATTAAGTTCATAATTTTATATATACAGTCGTCCTCAATATCCATGGGCAGTTGGTTCCAGGACCCATCACAGATACCAAAATCCACAGATGGTCAAGTCCCTGACCTAAAATAGTATACTATTTGCATATAACATATGCACATCCTTCCATATACTTTAAGTTATCACTAGTTTATTTGTAATACCTAATACAATGTGAATGCTATGTAACTAGTTGTTATACTATATTGCTTCAGGAATAATGACAAGAAAAAATATCTACATGTGCTCAGTACAGACAAAACCATCATTTTTGTTTTTCAAATATTTTTGATCTGCAGTTGGTTGAATCCATGGAGGCAGAACCCACAGGGCCAACTGTATTTGTACATGAAAATTCAAATAAATCTACAATATAATACCAACACTAATAAGTAATATAGCATAAAAGGTCAATATACAAAAATCAATTGTGTTTTAGTTATTAGAAACAACCATTGAAAAATGAAACTTCAAAGAACAAGACTAATAACAACAGTATCAGGAGTAAATGGCATTGAAATACATTTAACAAAAGATGCACAATACTGTTATATGGAAAACTACATAAGTTTCTAAGAAAAATTAAGAAAGATCTAAATAAAAAGATAATACCATGTTTGTGATTGTAAGACTTAATGTTAAGATATCAATTTTCCCCAAATTTGATGATAAATTCAACACAATTACCTAGCAGGATTTTTATAGAAAAATTTTTTTTCAAAATTATGATGCTGAGTAAAATTTTTATATAAATTGATAAATTTATTCTAAACTCCATAAGGCAACACAAAATTCTTAATTAATGTAAAGATACATTAACTAAGACAGTGTGGTATTAGCATAATAGAAAAATAAATAAGTTGAACAAAATATAGAGTCCAGAAATAAACTGACACATATACCATCAATTGATTCTCAATAAAGTCCTCAAAGCAATTCAATTGGAGATAAGAATGTCTGCAATAAATGGTGCTGAAACAACTGGATATTCCTGTGGAGGAAAAAATGAAACTTAACCTTCCCTCACACCATACTCCCAAATTATGTTGAGAATGATTATAGATATCAGTGTGGAAGCTGGAATTATAAAGCTTCTGAAAGAAAATAGGAAAATGTCTTCAAGGCTTTGAGGTAGGCTAAGGTTTCTTAGATACGCATAAGGGCAATATCCATAAAACAAAACAAATGATAAATTAGGTCTCAACAAATTTTAAAACCTTTGTTCAACAAAACACACCATTAAGAACGTGCAATAGCAGTCACAGGATGGAAGAAAATATTTTAATATATATATGTGACAAAGACCTCATATCTGGAAAATATAAAGAATTCTACAAAACAATAATAAGGTTAATAAACAACAAAAATTGGCAAAATATTTCAATATACACTGCACTAAAGAATATAGATAGCTTAAAGAAAAAAACAATAAAAATTCAGGAAACTGTGGACACACTTTTAGAAACGCATAATGCTCTGGAAAGTCTCAGCAATAGAATCAAACAAGTAGAGGAAAGAAATTCAGAGCTTGAAGACAAGGTCTTCAAACTAACTCAATCCAACAAAGACAAAGAAAAAAGAACAAGAAAATATGAACAAAGCCTCCAAGAAGTTTGGGATTATGTTAAATGACCAAACCCAAGAATAATCGGTGTTCTTGAGGAAGAAGACAATTCTAAAAGCTTGGAAAACATATTTGGGGGAATAATCAAGGCAAACTTCCCTGGCCTTGCTAGAGACCTAGACATGCATATACAAGAAGCACAAAGAACACCTCGGAAATTCATCCTCAAAAGATCTTCATCTAGGCACATTTTCATCAGGTTATCCAAAGTTAAGAGGAAGGAAAAAATCTTAAGAGCGGTGAGACAGAAGCACCAGGTAACCTATAAAGGAAAACCTACCAGATTAACAGCAGAAATCTCAGCAGAAACCTTACAAGTTAGAAGGGATTGGGGCCCTATATTCAACCTCCTCAAACAAAACAATCTTCAGCCAAGAATTTTGTATCCAGTGAAAGTAAGCATCATATATGAGGAAAAGATAGTCATTTTCAGACAAACAAATGCAGAGAGAACTTGCCATTACCAAGCCACCACTGTAAGAACTTCAAAAAGGAGCTCTAAATCTTGAAACAAATCCTGGAAACACATCAAGACAGAATATCTTTAAAGCGTAAAGCACACAGGACCTATAAAAAAATAGAAGTTAAAAAGCAAGAACAAAAAACAAAGTATGCAGGCAACAAAGAGCATGATGAATGCAACCCTACCTCACATTTCAATACTAACATTGAATGTAAATGTCCTAAATGTTCCACTTAAAAGATACAAAACTGCAGAATGGATAAGAACTCACCAACCATCTGCTGCCTTCAGGTGACTCACTTAACACATAAGGACTCATAAAAACTTAAAGTAAAGGGGTGGAAAAAGGCATTTCATGCAAATGGACACCACAAGCAAGCAGGGGTAGCTACTCTTATGTCAGACAAAACAAATTTTAAAGCAACAGCGAGACAAAGAGGGACGTTATATAATGGTAAAAGGCCTTGTCTAACAGTAAAATACCACAATCCCAAACATATATGTACCTAACACTGGAGCTCCCAAATTTATTAAAAAAATTACTAATAGACCTAAGAAATGAGATAGCAACACAATAAAAGTGGGAGACTTTAATACTCCACTGACAGCATTAGACAGGCCATCAAGAAAGAAAGTTAACAAAGAAACAATGGATTTAAACTACACCTTGGAACAAATGGACTTAACAGATATATACAGAACACTTCATCCAACAACAGAATACAGATTCTATTAAACAGCCTATGGAACTTTCTCCAAGATAGACCATATGATAGGCCATAAAACGAGTCTCGATAAATTTAAGAAAATTGAAATTATATCAAGCACTCTCTCATACCACAGTGGATTTAAACTGGAAATTAACTCCAAAAGGAACCCTCAAAACAATGCAAATACATGGAAATTAAATAACCTACTCTTGAATGAGCATTGAGTCAAAAACGAAATCAAGATGGAAATCAAAAAATTATTCAAACTGGATGGCAATAATGACACAACCTATCAAAACCTATGGGATACAGCTAAGGTGATACTAAGAGAAAAGCTCACAGCCCTAAATGCATATATCAAAAAGTCTGAAAGAGCACAAACAGACAATCTAAGGTCACGCCTCAAGGAACTAGAGAAAGAAGAACAAACCAACCCAAACCCAGCAGAAGAAAGGAAATAACCAAGATCAGAGCAGAACTAAATGAAATTGAAATAACAACAACAACCAAAAAAAGTACAACAGATAAATGAAACAAAAAGCTGGTCCTTTGAAAAGATAAATAAGATTGATAGACCATTAGCAAGATTAGCCAAGAAAAGAAGAGAGAAATCCAAATAACCTCACTGAGAAATGAAACAGGAGATATTACGACTGATACCACTGAAATACAAAAGATCATTCAAGGCTACTATGAACACCTTTATACACATAAACTAGAAAACTTAGAAGAGATAAATAAATTCCTGGAAAAATACAACCATCCTAGCTTAAATTAAGAAGAATTAGATACCCTGAACCGACCAATAACAAGCAGCAAGATTGAAATGGTAATTAAAAAATTACCAACAACAAAAAAAGTCCAGGACCAGATGGATTCACAGCAGAATTCTACCAGTCATTCAAAGAATTGGTACCAATCTTTTTGACACTATTCCACAAGACAGAGAAATAAGGAACCCTTCCTAATTCATTCTATGAGCCAGCATCACCCTAATACCAAAACCAGGAAAGGATACAACCAAAAAAGAAAGCTACAGACTGATATCCTTGATGAATGTAGATGCTAAAATCCTTAGCAAAGTACTAGCTAACCGACTACAATGACATATCAAAAAAATAATCCACCATGACCAAGTGGGTTTCATACCAGAGATACAGGGATGGTTTAACATACACAAGTCAATAAATGTGATTCACCACATAAACAGAATTAAAAGCAAAAATCACATGATCATCTCAATAGATGCAGAAAAAGCATTTGACAAAATCCAGCATCCCTTTATGATCAAAACCCTCAGCAAAATTGGCATACAAGGGAACTACCTTAATGTAACAAAGGCACTTATGACAAACCCACAGCCAATATAATAATGAGTGGAGAAAAGTTGAAAGCATTCCCCCTGCGAACGAGAACAAGACAAGAATGCCTGCTCTCACCACTCCTCTTCAACATAGTACTGGAAGTCTTAGCCAGAGCAATCAGACTAGAAAAAGAGATAAAGGGCGTCGACATTGGTAAAGAGGACGTCAAACTGTCCCTGTTTGCTGACGATATGATTGATTACCTTGAAAACCCTAGAAAGCTCCAGAAACCTCCAGAAAGCTCCTAGAACTGATAAAAGAATTCAGGAAAGTTTCCAGATCCAAGATTAATATACACAAAACAGTAGCTCTTCTATACACCAACAGTGACCAAGTGGAGAATCAAATTAAGAACTCAACCCCTTTTACAATAGCTGCAAAAATAAATAAATAAATAAATAAATAAATAAATAAATAAATAAATAAAATACTTAGGAATATACCTAACAAAGGAGTCAAAAGACCTCTGCAAGGAAAACTACAAAACACTGCTAAAAGAAATCATAGATGACACAAACAAATGGAAACAGATCCCAGGCTCATGGACGGGTAGAATCAATATTGTGAAAATGACCACACTGCCAAAAGCAACCTATAAATTCAGCACAATCCCCATCAAAATACCACCATCATTCTTCACGGAGTTAGAAAAACACAATTCTAAAATTCATATGGAACCAAAAAAGAGCCCTCATAGCCAAAGCAAGACTAAGCAAAAAGAACAAATCTGGAGGCATCACACTACCTGATTTCAAACTATAGTATAAGGCCATAGTCACCAAAACAGTGTGGTACTGATATAAAAATAGGCACATAGATCAATGAAACAGAATAGAGAACCCAGAAATAAACCCCAAATTCTTAAGCCAACTGATCTTCCACAAAGCAAACAAAAACACAAAGTGGGGAAAGGACACCGTATTCAACAAATGGTCCTGGGATAATTGGCTAGCCAAATGTAGGAGAATTAAACTGGATCCTCATCTCTCACCTTATACAAAAATCAGCTCAAGATGGATTAAGGACTTAAACCTAAGACCTGAAACTATAAAAATTCCAGAAGACAACATTGGAAAAACCCTTATAGACATTGGCTTAGGCAAGGATTTCATGAACAAAAACTCAAAAGCAATTGCAATAAAAACAAAGATAAATAGCTGGGACTTAATTAAACTAAAGAGCTTTTGCACGGCAAAAGGAACAGTCAGCAGAGTAAACAGACAATCCACAGAGTGGGAGAAAATCTTCACAATCTATACATCTGACAAAGGACTAATATCCAGAATCTACAATGAACTCAAACAAATCAGTAAGAAAAGAAAAACACACAAAACAAAACAAAACAAAATCAATCCCATAAAAAAGTGGGCTAAGGACGTGAATAGAAAATTCTCAAAAGAAGATATACGAATGGCCAACAAGCATATGAAAAAATGCTCAACATCACTAATGAGCAGGGAAATGCAAATCAAAACCACAATGTGATACTACCTTAGTCCTGTAAAAATGGCCATAATCAAAGAATCAAAAAACAGTAGACGTTGACGTGGATGCGGCGATTAGGGAACACTTCTACACTGCTAGTGGGAATGTAAACTAGTACAGCCAGTATGGAAAACAGTGTGGAAATTCCTTAAAGAACTCAAAGTATAACTACCATTTGATCAAGCAATCCCACTACTGGGTATCTACCTAGAGGAAAAGAAGTCATTGTTCCAAAAAGAGTCTTGCACACACATGTTTATAGTAGCACAATTCACAATAGCAAAATCGTGGAACCAACCCAAATGCCCATCAATCAACGAGTGGATAAAGAAACTCTGGCATATATATACGAAGGAATACTACTCAGCCATAAAAAGGAATGAATTAACAATAATGACCTGGATGAGATTAGAGACTAGTATTCTAAATGAAGTAACTCAGCAATGGAAAACCAAACATCGTATGTTCTCACTGATATGTGGGAACTAAGCTATGAGGATGCAAAGGCGTAAGAATTATACAACGGACTTTGGGGACTTGGGGGGAAAAGTGCAGGGGGGCAAGGGATAAAGGACAACAAATATGGTGCAGTGTATACTGCTCGGGTGATGGGTGCACCAGGTTGTCACAAATCTCTATTAAAGAACTTATGTAACCAAGTACCACCTGTACCCCAACAACCTATGGAAAAATAAAATTTTAAAAATAATATATATAAAGATATACAAATGCCCAAGAAACAAGGAGAAGGTACATTACAAGTCATCATAGAAAATCTAATTAAAACTATAATCAAATATCACTACACATTCACAAGAAAGGGAAAAACGTCAAATTACATTCACTGATTGTCAATAGAAAGTGTTGTCAAGGATGTGAAGCAACTGGACCTGTCATACATGAAAGGTGGAAGTTTAAAATAGTGCAGCCACTTTGAAAAAGTCTGCGTCAGTTTCTCAAACATACCTACACCTATAATCCAGCAATTCTACTCATATGTATATAACCAATAGACTGGAAATCATATGTTCACAAAAAAACTTGAGCAAGAAAGTTCATAACAACTTTATTCACAATAGCTAAAAATTGGGGGAAAAAACAAAGTCCACAGCAGTGTAATCGATAAACAAACTGTGGTACAGTCATACAGGCTCTATTTAGTACTAAAATGAACGAACTACTGATAAATGCAACAACAGGTATGGATCTCAAAACTGTGATGATGAGTGAAAGAAGCGACACAAAAAGGAATATATACCCTATGATTTCATTTATATGAAGTGCAGGAATAGGCAAAATTCATCTATGATATGAGAATGGTCACTTAAAGGATGGGATAGTGACTGGAAAGGGCACAAGGGAACTTTCTGGGGTCATGGAATATTCTTTACCTCGATCAGGGTGATGGTCACATTAATGTATTCATTTGTTAAAATTAATCTTTTTGTTTAAGATTTGTGGTTTTCATTACATGCGATTATATCTCAATAAAACAGTGAGAAAACCAAAACAAGAGGATCACTTGAATATTCCTATAACTATCAAAGAAACTAAAAACTAAACATCTCCCACAGAGAAAATCTAGGCCAAAATGGCTTTGCTGCAATTTCCAGCAATAATTCAAGAAGAAAGTAATTACGATCTAACAAAACCTCTTCCATAGAATAAATAAAGGTATAACACTCCCAAAATTATTTTTTTTGAGGCTAGCATAACCTTGAGATCAAAACCTGACAAGGACTGTATGAACAAATAAAATTATATGCCATTCTGACTCATGGCCATGAATGAACAAATCCTTTAAAATGTTCATAAATCATATCCACCAATATCTAAACAGCCTAATACATCACGACCTAGCTGGATTTATCCCAGGAAGGCAATTCTGGTTAAAATTTTTAAAATGTAATTCAGCACATTCATATTTTAGAGAACAAAATTTTGATTATATAAAGAGGCATAAGCAAAAAGTTCTTGATAAAATTTAATATATACCAAAAAATACAAAACAAAGGATACAAGGGAACTTAATATGATACAATGTATCTAGAAATATCTATTCAAAATATTACACTTATCTGTAATATATTAAAATACTGGCCTTTGAGATTGGGGATGTAACAAAATGGCTGCCATCATCACTACTATTCACCATTATAGTGGAGGTCCTAGACAATTCAACACATTAATAAGAATAGAAGTATGCAAAAAGAAGTGTAAAACTGTCGTTTATATATTATATAATTGAGTACATAAAAATTCTTTAAAAATCTATGGATAAACTGTTACATTTACAGTGGGACTTTAGTAAAATTGCTGGATACAAAAACAATATATGAAAAATAATTTTTTAGTCCTATAAGTGAATAAGAAACATTTAAATCATTGAAAGATCCTAGTTATAATAGCATCAAAAATATCTATTCAAAGGCCAGGTGCAGTGGCTCACGCCTGTAATCCCAGCACTTTTGGAGGCCGAGGCGGGTGGATCACCTGAGGTCGGGAGTTCAAGACCAGCCTGACCAACATGGAGAAACCCCGTCTGTACTAAAAATACAAAATTAGCCGGGGTGGTGGTGCATGCCTGTAATCCCAGCTACTCAGGAGGCTGAGGCAGGAGAATCGCTTGAACCCGGGAGGCGGAGGTTGCGGTGAGCCGAGATGGCGCCATTGCACTCCAGCCTGGGCAAAAAGAGCGAAACTACATGTCAAAAAAAAAAAAAATCTATTCAAATATGCTTCTGAATAAAAGTATGTGAGAGGCAACAATCTTCTACAACTACAAAAAACTGGATGATTTACAAAAATCATCATGTTAAAGGTACCAAATAGTGGTGGAAACAAAGATTAAATAAATTAAAATTTCAAGGAGAGAGAATCTTTTCCACTATAAGCTGACAATCTTCAACTATTTTTCTCCTTTGGAAAATTTACCAACTCTGAGAATAGGCTGAGGACCAGGCTTATTCAGACAAAGAGCCTCTGCTCGCAGAGAGAAAAAACAGCAAAGCTTTTAGCAGTTTGACAAGGCTGGTATGACAAATACAAAAGCTGATGATACTCAAGTGCTCAGCAGATTTTCCCCACTGAACATTTGCTGACTTCTGGCATAGTTGGGTAAAATACTTGTAAAAAGGTGAAGCAAAATCTTCAGCAATCACCCAGTTCTTAGGAAACAAGCATGTGCCAGAATTTGAAACTCCAGGAGGCTGCAAGTTGTGAATAGCAGATCTGGATTTTCCAGGCTTTCAGAGATTACAAAATAGAAATCTACCATGCTCTTACATCCTAGGGAAAAGAAGCAAACCAGACGTAGACTGAGTTTTAATAAAACTGCACTCTAGCCCTCATCATGAATAATTTCTGACTGGATTAAATTAAGCATATGCTCAACTTATGTGCCTAAAAGGGGAAAAGTGGAACTGTCTCTGGAATATCTCATCTGAAGCCTCTACAATTTTTTATACATGGTGCGTGACATGCAATAAAAATATTACTAGATACACAAAGAGGTAAAAAATATGACATGTAAATCAAAATAAAAGATGAAAAAAGATGCAGAAACACACATGATCTGGATAGTATCTGGATAGTGAAATCACGAGAAAATGACTTTAAAATTAACTATGACTAATATTTTTAAAAGAAGTAAAGAAAAAGTTAAATAAAATATGTGAAAGAACCAAGAACTGTAATAGATAATTTGAATTAATGGAACTAAAAATCAACTGGATATCTTACAATGAAAAAACTAGGAACTCAGTGCGTGGGATTAATGGGAGATGTGACACAAAAGAACAGGTTTGTATAACTCCAAAATTATAGAAAATATTAAAATTGAAGCACAAGAACAAAAATAATCGGGAAAAAAAGATAGAGCATAAGACATATGTAGGACAGAGTAAAAAAACAACTAACAAATATGGAATGGGAGAAGAGAAAGAATAGGGCAGGAGCAATACCTAAAGAAATAATATTCAAAAAGTTTACAAAATTAATAAAAGACATACACCCACAGAATCAAAAAACTCAGTGAATCATAAACAGGATAAATAAAAAGAAAACCACACCTAGGCACATCATAGTCAAGTTGTTAAAAAAAACAAAGAGACCAAGAAGCAGCTTCTCTGCTCCTTCTGGAATCTCTGCCTGGTTCAGCCCACCTGCCTCCACTCCTGCCTCCACCATGTCCATCAGGGTGACCCAGAAGTCGTACAAGGTGTCCACCTCTGGCACACGGGCCTTCAGCAGCCGCTTCTACACGAGTGGGCCCGGTGCCCGCATCAGCTTCTCCAGCTTCTCCCGAGTGGGCAGCAGCAGCTTCTGGGGTGGCCTGGGCGGAGGCTATGGTGGGGCCAGCGGCATCGGAGGCATCACCGCCGTCATGGTCAACCAGAGTCTGCTGAGCCGCCTTAACCTGGAGGTGGACCCCAACATCCAGGCCGTGCGCACCCAGGAGAAGGAGCATATCAAGACCCTAGGCAAATTTGTCTCCTTCATCGACAAGGTACCGTTCCTGGAGCAGCAGAACAAGATGCTGGAGACCAAGTGGAGCCTCCTGCAGCAGCAGGAGATGGCTCAGAGCAACATGGACAACATGTTCGAGAGCTACATCAACAACCTTAGGCGGCAGCTGGAGACTCTGGGCCAGGAGAAGCTGAAGCTGGAGACGGAGCTTGGCAACATTCAGGGGCTGGTGGAGGACTTCAAGGACGAGAATGAGGATGAGATCAATATGCGTAAAGAGATGGCAAATGAATTTGTCCTCCTCAAGAAGGATGTGGATGAAGCTGACATGAACAAGGTAGAGCTGGAGTCTCGCCTGGACGGGCTGACTGACGAGATCAACTTCCTCAGGCAGCTGTATGAAGAGGAGATCCGGGAGCTGCATTCCCAGATCTCGGATACGTCTGTGGTGCTGTCCGTGGACAACAGCCCTCCCTGGACATGGAAAGCATCATCGCTGAGGTCAAGGCGTAGTACGAGGTGATCGCCAACCGCAGCCTGGCTGAGGCTGAGAGCATGGACCAGGTCAAGTATGAGGAGCTGCAGGTGCTGGCTGGGAAGCAGGGGGATGACCTGCGGCATACAGACTGAGATCTCCGAGATGAACCGGAACATCAGCTGGCTCCAGGCTGAGACTGAGGGCCTCAAAGGCCGGATGGCTTCCCTGTGGAGGCCGCCATCGCAGATGCCGAGCAGCTTGGGGAGCTGGCCGTTAAGGATGCTAACGTCAAGCTGTCCGAGCTGGAGGCCACCCTGCAGCGGGCCAAGCAGGACATGGCGAGGCGGCTGCGTGAGTACCAGGAGCTGATGAACGTCAAGCTAGCCCTGGACATCGAGATCGCCACCTACGGGAAGCTGCTGGAGGGCGAAGAGAGCCAGCTAGAGTCTGGGATGCAGAACATGAGTATTCATATGAAGACCACCAGCGGTTTTGCAGGTGGTCTGAGCTCGGCCTATGGGGGCCTCACAAGCCCCGGCCTCAGCTACGGCCTGGGCTCCAGCTCTGGCTCTGGCGCGGGCTTCAGCTCCTTCAGCCGCACCAGCTCCACCAGGGCCCCGGTTGTGAAGAAGATCGAGACCCGCGATGGGAAGCTGGTGTCCGCGTCCTCTGACGTCCCGCCCAAGTGAACAGCTGCGGCAGCCCCTCCCACCCTGCCCCTCCTGCGACTTGCCCAGAGCCCGGGAGGGAGGCCGCTGTGCAGGGGAGCACAGGGAACAGAAGACACACCTGAGGCTCGGCTCTAGCCCTCAGCCCACCCTCGGCGGAATTCACTGCCTGAGGACCACCCTTGCCCATGCCTCCAACTACAAAACAATTCAATTGCTTTTTTTTCGTCCAAAATAAAACCTCAGCTAGCTCTGCAAAAAAAAAAAAAAAAAAAAAAAAAGATACAGAATCTTTAAAGCAACCAGAGGAATAAAAGACACCGCATTTAGAAGAACAACTGGAAAACGGAAGGCAGAATTCCCAAAAGAAACAAGGTCAGTCAGAAGGTAATGTTATAACATTTTTTAAGTGCTAAAGTAAAAATAAGCACATAGAACTACCAACATATAATTCTACACCCAAAGAAAATATTATTCAACAATGTGGGTGAAATAAAGAGGCTTTCATATGAACAAATATTAAAGGAATTCCTCACCAGCAGACCAACACTGAAAGAAAACAAGACAAAAACAAAGAAAATTCTTCAGTCAAAAGGAAAATTATGCTAGATGGAAACATGAAAATGCAAAAGGGCATGAAGAACACCGGAGAGAATAAATACATGGGTAAAAGTAAATATATATTTAGATTGCATAAAACAGTAATTAGAATATTTTGTACAGTCTATATGCAAAATGAAATGTGAAGTGAAAATACTTGACAAAAATAATGCAGGAGGGTGAAAAAAGGGGTAAGCACTGTTTAAAGTTTCTAGTAGCATAAAGATGTGGTATAAATAGTTTGTATTTGACTGTAATAAGTCAAAAATTCTTGCTGTAATTTCTAAGGTCGCTACTAAAATAGCGGAAGAAGATATAACTGACAAATTAATAGAAAAAAACATTCTAAATAGAAACATTGACTATGCTAAAAGAAGGCAAGAATGGAAGTAAAAGGGAATATGAAACAGGTGATTCAAATAGAAACTTGATGATTTTGTGGCAAATATATTCTAAACCAAATTATATATCAGTAATTAAATTTAATAAAAATAAGTCAAATATTTACAAGTAAAATATTAAGATGGTCAGAATGGATTTTTAAACCCAAATATATGCTAGTTACAAGAAATATAGCTTAAATATTAACATGGCAAAAGTTTAATATAAAAGGAATGAAGAGAAGTCATGAACCAAAAAAACAGATAATGAAACTGTAATCAGGAAAATCAAGAAGCAATACTAGAGAAAAACAAAGTTATTTCATAATTATAAAAGGATCAATAAAACAAGAAGACATTATCATAGTCCTCTGTGGGAAGTGTTAAAGACTTTGTGGACATCTTCAACCTACCTCAAGTCTCAATCAAGATAACAGCAGAGATTTTTGTGGAAACTGACAAGCTGATTCTAAAATCCATGTAGAAAAGCAAAAAGCTAAAATAGTCAGAGGCAATCTTGAAAAAAAAAGAACACATCTGGAAGACCTACACTACCATATATCAAGCTATGGTAAATAAGAACTGTGGTATTAGTGCAAGGATATACTAACTGGAATGGTTATAGATATAATGGAATAAAGAATTCAGGCAAATATTATCACCCAATTTTTTTTTCATAAAGGTGACATTGCAGTGCAGAGGTGAAAGTGTAGTCTTTCAAATAAATAGTGCCATATTAAATGCACACTTATATGGAAAAAACTGCAATTATATCACAAAGTCACACCATACGAATTGCAAATGAGTTGAAAAATTTTATGTCAGAAGTAAAATAATAAATATTTTATAGAAAATATCTTTAAGGATAACCTCTTTGTGACTTTGGTATAGGCAAAGTTTTTTTAAAAAAAAATAGGACACAAAAAACACTAACCATTAAAGAAAGAAATGGTAACTTAGACCACACTAAAATTAAGATCTGTTCATCAAAAACACCAATAAAAAATGAAAAGGTAATCCACAGGATAGGAGATGACATTAGAAATACACATATCTGGCAAAGAACTTCTACCATGAATATATAAACATACATACATATATAGATAGATAGATAGATAGAACATAGATAGAGATAAAAAGACAACCTATCTAAAAAACTAGACAAATGAACATAATGAAAAGGATATTAAAATATCCAACAAATATTTGAAAAGCTGTTTAACTTCATTCTCATCAGAGATGCAAAGCAGCAAATTAAAACCACAAAGGATAGTACTATACCACCACCTGAATAGCTACAATGTAGACAAAAAGTATTAAATACCAAATGTTGACAAAAATGTCTAGATATGAGATAATGGTCAATGTTGAACACCTGGCTCTCTTAGAAATGAATATATAAGATCCCTGATTTATGGCTTTTTTTCCAGTCTCCATACTGTAAATACTACCACCATAGCCAATTTCAGGCAGCCATCCTGAGACCACTGAATGCAGAATTGAGAAGAGATGCCCACAATTGGTCCTTGAAAGCCAGTATGACCCAGCTCCAGAACACCACCAATGTGCAGCAACAATAATTCTCACATATTGTTGGTGGGAGTGTAAATTGATACAACCGGTTTAGAAAATCGGCAGTTTCTCCTAAAGTTGAAGACATGCATACCTTTATTCCACAGCACTTCTACTCTGGGGTATGTACCCAACAGAAATCCATACATGTGTTCACCAAAAGACATGTTTGAGGATTCTCATAACAGTGTTCATATGTAAAAGCTAAAATCTGGACACTACCCAAATCCCCATCAACAGTTTAAAGGATAAACAAATTGTAATATCGTGATATAATGGAGTACTATGCATCATCAGTCAATGAACTGCAGCCCACAGGAAAAATGTGACCAGTCCCTTATTTTTTTATAGCCCCTTAGTGAAGAATGTTTGTTACATTTTTAAATGGCTACATTTTTAACAGTTATACAATTACCTACATAAAGTCATCAATTTTGCCTCTTGACCTACAGGGATTGTGCAATTTGCTATCTGGCCCTTTAACAAAAAGTTTGCTGATCTTTGCTATAAATCAGTGAGAGTGAATGATTTACAACAGTGATCTCAAAGTATGGCCCCTGGATCAGCAGCATTAGCAGCACCTGAAAACTGGACTCCCAGCCTCCACCCCAGACATACTGAATCAAAACTCTGGGCTGTGACCCAGCGATTCGTGCTTGAACAAGCCCTCTTGGTAATTGTGATAGATGCTAAAGTTTGAGAACCAATGATCTACAATTCTAAACATGAATAAATATCACAAACATAATGTTGAGTGCAAGAACATAGATGCAATAAAGAACATACTATATAATTCCATTTATATAAAATTTAAAAACATGTACAAGTATTCTGTTTAAAAATCAAGACAATGGCTACCCATGGAAAGGGACCAGTGACTGGAAGGGAGCATGAGGTGAGTTTTTGCAATATTAAATTGGCTTGCAGATTGCTGCCTTCCGGCTGTGTCCTTAAATGGCAGAGAGAGACAAAGAGAGAGGGAGAGAGAGAGCACGCCAGAGAGAGAGAGAGCAAGCACACTTTGGTGTCTCTTCCTCTTCTTATAGGGGCACCAGCCTTTTCAAATGAGGGTCCTACCATTACAATTTCATTTAACCTTTATCACCTCCTCACAGACCCTGTCTCCAAATACAGTGACATTGGGCGTTAGGGCTTCAGCATATGAACTTTGAGAGGACGCAAGCATTCAGTCCATAATATATTCTAAAGGAAACTGGAAGCACATTCTTCAGGCAGAAGAAAAGTAATCCCATATGGAAGCTTGGGAATGCAACAACAACAACAAAATGAAATAAAATGGTAATAATATTAAAGAGTACTGATAGGCCGGGCGCGGTGGCTCACGCCTGTAATCCCAGCACTTTCGGAGGCCGAGGCGGGCGGATCACGAGGTCAGGAGATCAAGACCATCCTGGATAACACGGTGAAACCCCGTCTCTATTAAAAATACAAAAAAATAGCCGGGCGTGGTGGCGGGCGCCTGTAGTCCCAGCTACTCGGGAGGCTGAGGCAGGAGAATGGCGTGAACCCGGAAGGCGGAGTTTGCAGTGAGCCGACCAGCCTGGGCGACAGAGCGAGACTCCGTCTCAAAAAAAAAAAAAAAAAAAAAAAAAGAGTACTGATAATATAAACAATAATGTCTTGCTGGAATACAAGAATGTAAGACAAAAAATAAATGATAGGTCATAGATAAAGCATTCATGAAGCAAGTAAAAGTGTCAATTCATATTAAACTCTTATGAGTTAATGAATTTCCATTTTTATAGTAAACACTAAAATAATAGCAAAAAGGTATAAAATCTTCAAGCTAATAGAGTATATATGTGTATTTTAGAATGCTTGAATATACTCAATCTATATTCATTCTAAAATAAGGCAAGCAAGAGAAAATAAGAATATAGGCAGGTGGAATGAATAGAAATCACTTAATAAGCTGAACATTTTTAATGCAAATGTATTTGTAATTATAGTAACTATACATAGAGTAATGCTCCAATTAACTAAATACTGTCCAACTGGATCCTGCCAAGTCTCAACTATATGCTATTTATAGAACACAACTTCAAAACATAAAGGGAAAAGAGTGAAAGTAAATGAATGGGTAAAGACCATGCAAACTCTAACCAACATGTGGCTGGTATAGCTATGACAACATCAGATAAGGAAGACTTTAAAGCAAAAAGAATTACCAGAGAAAAAAATGACAATAGTAGGTAAAAATTAAGAATTAAATTTATGAGGAAATATTAACTATTCTAAATTTATATACTTAGTAACATGTCTTCAAAATATCTAAAGAAAACACTGACAGTAGTAAAAGAAGAAAAAGAAAAACCCAGAAACATGGTAAAATTTAATACACTTTCATCAGTAAATGATGGAATAAACACAAACAAGTTAGCAAAGACAAAGAATATGCAAAAGAACATTAAACCAAGTAACTATAGAATACATATTCTCCAAATACCCACACAACATGTAGAGAACTGTCCATTTTGCTGGGCCATAATACAATTATCTACATATTTCAAATGAACAAAATCATAAAATAATTTTTTAGCTATAATATAATCATATTAGGAAACAATAATGAAAAAGTAACTAGAAAAGTCCCATTGTTTAGAAGTTAAGCAATATGCTTGTAAATAATCCAACGGAAATCGAAAATATTATGAACTGAATAATAGCAAAAATACTATTTAGTAAACTTACTATTTATTAAAACTTACAGGATTTGACTTCTACTTCTGAGTAAAATGGAATAGTTCATGGCAGGTCAATATTTCCACTGAAAACAATTAGAAAAAAGATAGATTTCAAAAATTATATATATATTTATAGACACCCAATAACTGTAGAAGTAAGCAAGACTAGAGGGAATACAATTCCAGAATGAGGACAGTCTTTCGGAGGTAAACTGAGGCTCCACAGCTGTCTCCGAGAATATGTCCTGATTCTGAACATGGATCTGAGCTTGAGAATTTGAGCTAGGTCTAGGTGGAGAGCTGCTGCTGATGGACTTTTTGACAGCTACACAGAGCTGAAGTAAAAAAATGTAGATTAGACAGGCCTCAAATAGACAATTTATTTCTCCTTCAAGATATTTGCTAAACTCCAAAGCTAAACTGAAGAGGAAGATAAAGAGATTAAGCCAAAACTTAAAGCAAAGTAGAATTATTTCCACAGTCTCTAGGTGATTAGGAGGCAAAGGTTGGGGGTACAGGATTGGCAGGACTAAGAACAAATAACATATGAAAGCATTAGAGGGAGTAGTAAATTAACACCCACATCTTCCAACCACCTTTTGCAGATCTGGAACCTGCTGAAAGATAAGAATCCACACTTGGTCCTTGGCAGAACTTTTGGCAGACGGTAATGACAAAATTGGAGTCTTGAAGGATGCTAAATGCACAGCTGGTCTCTCCCTCAAAAGATTTGCCAAATTCTGAATCTTCACAGGGCAAGAGGCTAAAGAAATAATTCAAAAACCTCTGAATCACACAGGAAAAAAAAATGCCCATAGTCTCTTAGCACTGAGGTTACAAAGACCTGCCATGTACTCAAATAAATGTCCTGGGGTACAAGCCATAGAAATGGTAAATTGAGATTCATTAAACTAAATGCCAGCTTCCACCAGCTCAGTCTGTGATTAAAGTATAATATTTAGCTCCCTACTCTATCTGCCTAGCAAAGGAGATTTGGATAATTACACAAGGCTGAAGCGGCAGAACTTAGATTAGACAGGCCTCCAATAGATGACTATAGACAAATTATAGATCATGTGAAATCTATAATAGCTGGTGAGGGGGAAATCATGTGAGATAATAAGTATAAAAGCGCAATAAATGATATGTATTCAGATATCTTAATTTTACAAACAAAATGTTGACCAAAAAGACATCAGCTTTGAAGACAGACAGGTCTGTGTATAAACCACATACTCAGAAATAGTTTTTTGACCTTAAAAAAGTTATTTAACCTTCTAGGCTTCAGTTTATTTATTTGTAAATGGAAATAAATAATAGCAAGCAGAGAATATGCTCTCATAAGAATTACGAGATAATACATTTAAAGTAATTAAAACAATCTCTGAAATGTAAAAAATAATGGTTTCATTATTATTGCTGTCGTCATTACTACTGTGACAAAGAAATAGTAGCTTTTAGAATACTTTCCATTTTGCCAAATGCCTTTGCATTTATTATCTCACTTGATTCCTCCCTGCAATTAATATAAATGAACCAAAGATCATGTTCTGCATATTTCAAATAATGAATAAACTGAGACTCCCAAAAGAGAAATGACTTGCTCAGAGACAGGCAACAAGGTACTGAAGAACCAGGACTAGAGCCCTCAGCTATTCACACTTGTCCCGCTTTGTACAACTCCACATTACCTGCAAACAGGATATGAATCTATTCCATTACGCATATTGAACTCAAATGTTGTCTGCTGCTGAATGGGGCTTAGGAGCATTTTCTCAATATCCAAGGATGACACAAACATTCAGCTGATTGAGTACTAAGATAAATCTTACAGTTCATTTATTCTATCAACTTTCCCCTGCCCTCACTCATGCCATCACATTCCTCCATAGCCAACTTAAAGTCCATGGCATGGTCCATCATTCTAATCACTTCCTTGTGCACACAACACAATAAACTTCCTTGTCTCTATCTCCCTTCATCATACTAAATTAGCAAAACAAAATTCTGGTTAAATCTAATTCATTGCCTACTCTTAAGCCGTGCCTGACTGAGCAGCTGAATATGTGAATGTAACTGGACCAAAAATACATAACCAAGTTGGCTTCTCCAAATTCAAGCTGATCTTTGGTGCTGTTCAACAATCCTACCACATGTCCTTTCCATCTATTTTCCCACTCTCCAAGAAGACCATTTCTCACCTTCTCTTTACTGAAATTGCCTCACCTCCTTCCTATCCTCCCTCTCAATTGATGCCCTTGCTTTCTATTTCATTAAGAAAATCTAGGCCATCAGAAGAGAATGTCTATATGCTTCCCACATCTCCTTGCCCACCAGTATCGTGCATACATATTATGCTTTCTTTTTAGTGACTATGGATAAACTGTCCTTGCTCTTACCCCTCCACTTGTGAACTGTGTGTCAACTTCTCTGTCCTTTTAAGGATAACACTATAGAAATTCTACTCTCTTGTGAATCACTACTTATTTCTTTTTACTGGAGAATCCTCATCAGCATTCTGTGATACATCTCATTTTTGAAACCTTTCTCTTAAACCCACGTCTTCTCCCAGCTACAATCTCATTTGCTGCCTTTACAGCAACACTCTTTTAAAAAGTCATCTAAACTCACTCCCTATCCCCGATTTTTTATATTTTCCAAGTTTTATTGAGGCATGATTAGAAAATTCAAGTTGTATACAGTTAAAGTGTATACAATATATAATTTGGCGTAGTATATATTGTGAAATTATTATAACAATCAAGCTAAATTAACACACCACTACCTCACATAGTTTCTGCTTTTTTTCTTTATTAGGAGGTGTGAATGCTTAAGATCTACAGCTTTAACAAATTTTAAGTATACTTATTATTAACTATATTCACCATTCTGTATATCATATTGCCAGAACTTATTTTGTAAGTTAAAGTTTTGACCGAAATCTCCCTACTTCCCCAATTCCACAGCCTCTGGCAACCACTGTTCTACTGTCTTCTTTGACTGTTCTAGATTCTACATATAAGTCTTTCTTTGTCTGGCTAGTTTTGCTTAGCATAATGTCCTCCAGGTTCATCCATGTTGTCACAAATGTCAGGATTACTTTTTTATGGCTTAATCGTACTCCATTGTCTATATGTGCAACATTTTATTTATCCATTCATCTGTTGATGGACAGAGACTGCCTCTATATCTTAGCTATTGTAAATAATGCTGAAATGGACATAGGGGTGCAGATATTTCTTCAAGATAATTGTTTCATTTCCTTTGGGTATATACCCAGTAGTGGGATTAGTAAATCATATGATCAAGTCTGCTTCTGAAGCTCTGTCTTGAATTTGTCTTTTCTGTCACATTCTTCAGCTGTTTGGTCATTTTTTACAGTTTATGTTTCTTCATTAAACTTCTTATTTTGCTCATGTATTGTCCTCATTTCATTTAGTATTCTGTGTTCTTGATATGGTTTGGCTGTGTCCCCACCCAAATCTCATATTGAATTGTAGTTCTCATAGTCCCCACATGTAGTGGGAGAGACCTGGTGGAAGGTAATAGAAACGTGGGGGTGGTTTTTCCCAGGCTATTCTTGTGATATTAAGTTCTCACGAGGTCAGATGGTTTCATAAGGGGCTTCCCCCTTCACTCAGCTCTCATTCTTCTCCTTCCTGGCATCTTTTTTTTTTTTAAAAAAAAAAGGAGAAAATTTTTGCAATCTACTCAGCTGACGAAGGGCTAATATCCAGAATCTACAATGAACTCAAACAAATTTACAAGAGAAAAAACAAACAATCCCATCAAAAAGTGGGCAAAGGATATGAACAGACACTTCTCAAAAGAAGACATTTATGCAGCCAACAGACACATGAAAAAATGCTCATCATCACTGGCCATCAGAGAAATGCAAATCAAAACCACAGTGAGATACCATCTCACACCTGTTAGAATGGCGATCATTAAAAAGTCAGGAAACAACAGGTGCTGGAGAGGATGTGGAGAAACAGGAACACTTTTACACTGTCGGTGGGACTGTAAACTAGTTCAACCATTGTGGAAGTCAGTGTGGCGATTCCTCAGGGATCTAGAACTAGAAATACCATGTGACCCAGCAATCCCATTACTGGGTATATACCCAAAGGATTATAAATCATGCTGCTATAAAGACACATGCACACATATGTTTATTGCGGCACTATTCACAATAGCAAAGACTTGGAACCAACCCAAATGTCCATCAATGATAGACTGGATTAAGAAAATGTGGCACATATACACCATGGAATACTATGCAGCCATAAAAAAGGATGAGTTCATGTCCTTTGTAGGCACATGGATGAAGCTGGAAACCATCATTCTCAGCAAACTATCTCAAGGACAAAAAACCAAACACCGCATGTTCTCACTCATAGGTGGGAATTGAACAATGAGAACACATGGACACAGGAAGGGGAACATCACACACCGGGGCCTGTTGTGGGGAGTGGGGAGGGGGGAGGGATAGCATTAGGAGATATACTTAATGTTAAATGACGAGTTAATGGGTGCCGCACACCAACATGGCACATGTATACATATGTAACAAACCTGCACGTTGTGCACATGTACCCTAAAACTTAAAGTATAATAAAAAAAGGATGTGTTTGCTTCTCCTTCTACAATAAGTCTAAGTTTCCTGAGGCCTCCCCAGCCATGCTGAACTGTGAGTCAATCTAACCTCTTTTCTTTTAAATTGCCCAGTCTCCCTCATGTCTTTATTAGCAGCACAAGAATGAATTAATATAGTAGATTGGTACTGCTAGAGTGGCTTGCTGCTATAAGGATACCTGAAAATGTGAAAGTGACTTAGGAACTGGGAAACAGGCAGAGGTTGGAACAGTTTAGAGGGCTCAGAAGAAGACAGGAAAATGTGGGAAAGTTTGGAACTTCCTAGAGACCTGGAGGGCTCAGAAGACAGGAAGATGTGGGAAAGTTTGGAACTTCCTAGCGACTTGTTGAATGACTTTCACCAAAATGCTGATAGTGGAATGGACGATGAAGTCCAGGCTGAAGTGGTCTCAGATGGAGATGAGGAACTTGTTGAGGACTGGAGCAAAAGTGACTCTTGTTATGCTTTAGCGAAGATACTGCTGGCATTTTGCCCCTGCCCTAGAGATCTGTGGAGCTTTAAACTTGAGAGAGATGATTTAAAGTATCTGGAATAAGAAGTGTCTTTTTTTTTATTTTTTTATTTCCATAGGTTTGGGGGGCATAGGTGGTATTTGGTTACATGAGTAAGTTCTTTAGTGGTGATTTGTGAGATTTTGGTGCACGCATCACCCAAGCAGTATACACTGAACCCGATTTGTAGTCGTTTTTTCCTCACCCGCTTCCCACCTTTCTCCCTGAGTCCCCAAAGTCTATTGGGTCATTCTTATGCCCTTGCATCCTCATAGCTTGGCTCCCACTTATGAGTGAGAACATACGATGTTTGGTTTTCCATTCCTGAGTTACTTCACTTAGAATAATAGTCTCCAATCTCATCCAGGTTGCTGTGAATGCCACTAAGTCATTCCTTTTTATGACTGAGTAGCATTCCATCATATATATATATATACCACAGTTTCTTTATACACTCATTGATTGATGGACATTTGGGTTGGCTCCTCATTTTTGCAATTGTGAATTGTGCTGCTATGAACATGCATGTGCAAGTATCTTTTTCGTATCATGACTTCTTTTCCTCTAGTTAGATACCCAGTAGCAGAATTGCCAGATCAAATGGTAGTTCTACTTTTAGTTCTCTAAGGAATCTCCACACTGTTTTCCATAGTGGTCATAGTAGTTTACATTCCTACCAGCAACGTAGAAGTGTTCCCTGTCCACTGCATCCATGCCAACATCTATCATTTTTTTTTTCCGATTTTTTGATTATGGCCATTCTTGCAGGAGTAAGGTGGTATCACATTGTAGTTTTCATTTGCATTTCCCTGATCATTAGTGATGTTGAGCATTTTTTCATATGTTTACTGGCCATTTGTATATTTTCTTTTGAGAATTGTCTATTCATGTCCTTAGCCCACTTTTCGATGGCATTGTTTTTTTCTTGCTAGCTTTTTTGAGTTCCCTGTAGATTCTGGATATTAGTCCTTTGTCAGATGTATAGATTGTGAAGATTTTCTCCCACTCTGTGGATTGTCTGTTTACTCTGCCGACTGTTCCTTTTGCCATGCAAAAGCTCTTTAGTTTAATTAAGTCCCAGCTATTTATCTTTGTTTTTATTGCATTTGCTTTTGGGTTCTTGGTCATGAAATCCTTGACAAAGCCAATGTCTATAAGGGTTTTTCCAATGTTGTCTTCTGGAATTTCTATAGTTTCAGGTCTTAGGTTTAAGTCCTTAATCCACCTTGAGTTGATTTTTGTATAAGGTGAGAGATGAGGATCCAGTTTAATTCTCCTGCATGTGGCTTGCCAATTATCCCAGTACCATTTGTTGAATATGGTGTCCATTCCCCACTTGTATGTTTTTGTTTGCTTTGTCGAAGATCAGTTGGCTTAAGAATTTGGGGTTTATTTCTGGGTTCTCTATTCTGTATCATTGGTATATGCCTATTTTTATACCAGTACCATGCTGTTTTGGTCACTATGACCTTATAGTATAATGTGAAGTCAGATAATGTGATACCTCCAGATTTCAGTGTAATAAAAGCCATCTGTGACAAACCCACAGCCAACATAACACTGAATGGGGAAAAGCTGAAAGCATTCCCTCTGAGAACTGGAACAAGACAAGTTTGCCCACTCTCACCACTTCTATTCAACATAGTGCTGGAAATCTTAGCCAGAGCAATCAGACTAGAGAAAGAAATAAGGGGCATCCAAATCGGTAAAGAGGAAGTCAAACTGTTGCTGTTTGGTGATGATATGATTTACCTAGAAAACCCTAAAGACTCCTCCAGAAAGCTCCTACAACTGAAAAAGAACTTGGCAAAGTTTCCAGATACAATATTAATGTACACAAATCAGTAGCTCTTCTATACACCAACAGCGACCAAGCTGAGAATCAAATCAAGAACTTAACCCCTTTTACAATAGCTGCAAAAATAAAATAAAATATTTAAGAATATACCTAACCAAGGAGGTGAAAGACCTCTGCAAGGAAAACTGCAAAACACTGCTGAAAGAAATCATACACAACACACACACAAAAAAAATGGAAACACTTCTAATGCTCATGGATGGGTAGAATCAATATTGTAAAAATGACCATACTGCCAAAAGCAATCTACAAATTTAATGCAATTCCCATTAAAATACAACCACCATTATTCATAGAACTAGAAAGAAAATCCTAAAATTCATATGGAACCAAAAATGAGCCCACATAGCCAAAGCAAGACTTGGCAGAAGAAATTTCTAAGCAGCAAAGCATTCAAGAGGAAGCAGAGCATAAGAGTTTGAAAAATTTGCAGCCTGACAATGCAATAGAAGAGAAGAACCCATTTTCTGGGGAGAAATTCAAGCCAGCTGCAGAAATTTGCATAAATAACAAGGAGCTGAATGTTAATCACCAAGACAATGAAAAAAAATGTCTCCAGGGCATGTTAGAGACTTTCATGGCAGCCCCTTTGATCACAGGCCCAAAGGCCTAGGAGGAAAAATGGTTTCCTGGGTCAGGCCCAGTACCTCCTGCTATGTGCAGCCTAGGGACTTGGTGCCCTGCATCCCAGCTGTTTCAGTGTGGCTAAAAGAGGCCAAGGTACAGCTCGGGCTATGGCTTCACAGAATGTAAACCCTAAGCCTTGGCAGCTTCCACATGGTGTTGAGCCTATGGGTGCACAGAAGTCAAGAATTGAGGTTTGGGAACTTCTGCCTAGATTTCAGAGGATGAATGGAAACACCTGGATGTCCAGGCAGAAGTTTGCTGCAGTAGTGGAGCCCTCATGGAGACCCTCTGCTAGGACAACATGGAAGGCAAATGTGGGGTTGGAGCCCCCACACACAGTCCCCACTGGGGCACTGCCTGTTGGAGCTGTGAGAAGAGGGCTACCGTCCTCCAGGCCCCAGAATGGTAGATCCACCTACAGCTTGCCCCCATGCATCTAGAAAAGCCACAGGCACTCAACACTGGCCCGTGGAAACATCTGGGAGGGGGGGCTGTACCCTGCAATGCCACAGGGGTGGATCTGCCTATGGCCATGGGAGCCCACCTCTTGCATCAGCATGACCTAGATGTGAGACATGGAGTCACAGGAGATTATTTTGGAGCTTTAAGATTTAATTACTGCCTCATTGGATTTCAAACTGGTATGGGGCCTGTAGCCCTTTGTTTTGGCAAATTTCTCCCTTTTGGAATGGGTGTATTTATCCAATGCCTGTACCTCCATTGTATCTAGGAAGTAATTGACTTGCTTTTGATTTTACAAGCTCATAGGTAGAAGAGACTTGCCTTGTCTCAGATGAGACTTTTTACTTGGACTTTTGACTAATGCTGGAATGAGCTAAGACTTTGGGGGACTGTTGGAAAGGCATGATTGTGTTTTGAAATGTGAGGACATGAAATTTGGGAGGGGTCAGGGGTGGTATGATATGATTTGGCTGTGTCCCCACCTGAATGTCATCTTGAATTGTAGTTCCCATAATCCCCATGTGTGGTGGGAAGGTCCAGGTGGGAGGTAATTGAATCATGGGGGCGGTTTTCCCCATGCTATTCTTGTGATAGTAAGTTCTCGTGAGATCTGATGGTTTTATAAGGGGCTTCCCACTTCGCTCTGCTCTCATTCTTCTCTGTCCTGATGCTTTGTGAAGAAAGATGTGTTTGCTTGCCCTTCCACCATAATTGTAAGTTTCCTGAGGCTTTCCTAGCCATGCTGAACCGTGAGTCAATTAAACCTATTTTCTTTATAAATTACCCAGTCTCAGGTATTTCTTTACTAGCAGTGTGAGAACAGACTAACACAGTCCTCTTGCATCCCATTAAGCTTCCGTATGATGATTATTTCAAATTCTTGTCAGGAAATTTGTAGATCTTCTCATTTATTTGGAATCAGTTACTGGTGATTTAATAGTTCCCTTTAGTGTTGTCATGTTTATTTGATTCTTCATGATTCATGCATGTAGCCTTGTGTTGGTATCTGTGCATTTGAAAGAGAAAACACCTCTTCCAGTCTTTACAAACTGGTTTTGGCAGGCAGTGACTTTCTCCTGTTGGGCCCTCAGGCTGATGGGATTTCCTCTGGTATCACAGTTAAGTGTGGTTGGAGCTGGGTCACATGGATGCTGCTGGATCTGTAGTGAAGTCTACAGTTGGTAGGCCTTTTACTTGAGGCTCAGTTGAGCATGAATCCTATGTGGTCCCTGGGAAGACAGGACTGCCTCCAGGAAATTGGTCAGTGGGGTTGGTGCTGGAACAAGGGCCTACAATTGGATCTGCAGTTGGATCCACAAACAAGAAGTCTGTTACCAGGTGCATAAACCAGTGTGGTTCCCACTGCATCCCTTAGAAAGCTCTCACTGGTTCACTGAGCATGTCTGAATTAGTCAGTTTTCACACTGCTAATAAAGACATACCTGAGACTAGGTAATTTATAAAGGAAAGAGGTTTAATAAACTCACAGTTCCACATGGCTGGGGAGGCCTCACAATCATGGCTGAAAGCAAATGAGGAGCAAAGTCACATCTTACATGATGGCAGGCAAGAGAGCTTGTGCAGAAGAACTCCCATTTATAAAGCCATCAGATCTCATGAGACTTATTCACTACCACGAGAACAGTATGGGGGAATCGCCCCCATGATTCAATTATCTCCACCTGGCCCTGCCCTTGACAGTGGGGATTATTACAATTGAAGGTGAGATTTGGGTTGGGACACAGCCAAACCATATCAATATCCTTTGGAAGGCAAGACTGACCCTGGATTGCAGCTAAGCAGTGGTGGAATTAAGTCACGGGGCTGTTTCAAGTTGCACAGACAGGACCAAGGTCTGCAGGCCTGCCTCCATTGGCATAGACATTGTGTCTCTCTCTGGGACCTTGAGAAGACAGGCTCTCTCCTGGAAAATGGTTGAGAGAGGGAGCAAAGTCTGAAGGTCTGCCTCTGGGGATAAGTTGGATGTGACTCCTCCCATGTCCCTTAGAAAATAGTACTGGTGGCAGAACCAAGGCTAAATGGGGCTTACGCTAAATCCAAAAGGGGATGAGGCAATATCCAGGTTTGTAGCTGGGACCATAAACAGTAAGAAGGCAGGGCACAGGCCTGCTCTCTCAAAACAGCCCCTCCCAGTCTTAGGCTCCACTCAGTTTTCACAAACTCCTACCTCAATCCCAAAGGTCCTACAGAAACACTTTTTTTTTTCCTGTGGATGGCTGACAAATTATTGTTGCTGCAGGGGGTATATTCAAGTGAAAACCTCCTATTCCACCATCTTGCTTCCCAATTTCTATCTTTGTACTTCCTGTTGAATTGGCTGTACTGATATTTTTATATAGCATACCACTTAACTCCACCTTCGCTGAATTATTTGGCAAATCCAGATCCTATGGATAATTAATGTGACTTTTCAGCAACATTTGATAGAAGTAACCACTCATTCCTTCTTGAAAGATTTTATTTATTTAGATTCCTGGATACTACACTCTCCCTTTTTTATTTTTCTCCCATCCCCTGGCTAGTCATCATTAGTCTCCTTTGCTAGCCATTTATTGCTCCGCCTCAGGTGTTGGAAAGCCCTAGAGCTTAGTGCTTAAACCTTATCTCTTTTCTCTATGCTCACTCCTTAAACGATATCCAGGCTGTTCACTGTACTTATGTTAATATGCCGATGACTCTAGAATTTCTATTTCCAGACCAGATCTCTTCCTTAATGTGAACCTCAAACTTAACACATCCAAGACCAAACTCCAGATTTTTACCCCTTAATCTGTTCTTCCTATAGTCTTCACAATCTCATTAAACGGTAATTACAACCTTTCCATTATGGATGCCACAAATAACTTGAGAGTTATCTTTACTTCACTCTTCTTCTCACACCCTATATCCAATCCATGGACAAATATTGGCTGTATTTCAAAGAACATTCATAATCTGGCCACATCCATTTACACTGCTACCACTCTAGTTCCCCACCTCCATCTTCAGCTTGGCCTATTTTAATAGCCCCATAGTTTCCTGCTTCCATCTTTGAACCCCTACTGCCTATTCTTTACGGTGCAACCAGAGTTAGCCTTTCAAAACACATGTAATATTGCATCACTCATTTATTAAAATGTTTACAATAGCTTACTAAATCACTCCGAGTGAAATCCAAAGTCTTCATTTTGGCATACAAAACGCTAAATAACTTTTTGAACTTTAACTCCTACTGCTGTTTTTCTACATAATTTCACTTAACTCCTTGCTATTCCCAAATACATCAAGTATGTTCCCACCTCTGCCTGGAATACTCTCTCAGTGCACAGTTCTCTCCCTTCTTCCAAGTATCTATTTAAATGTAACCTTAATATAAAGGACTTCACTATCTTACTAAACGAAACATTAGCAACCCTCACACCCCCATACACCTTCCCCTTTACTTCGTTGTTTTTTCTTCATCACACTTATCAGATCAACTTTTTGTCTATTTTCTACCCCTCTACCAGAATATCTTCATGAGGGTAAACAGTTTGCCTGATTTTCACACTGTTTTGTCTCCAGCAAATAGAACAACTCTTGGTACACAAAAAGTTCACCATGAATGTTTAATACATCTGCAAAGTCACTTTTGACATGTAAGGTAAAATATTCACAGGTTCATAGAATTAGGACATGGACATATTTTGAGGGACATTATTCAGCCTACTATAAGATTAAAGAACAATTCAAGTAAAATAGGTAACATTTATATAGTGCTTACTACGTACAAGGCCATCATTCTGAGCATTTTACAAACAATTATCTTAGTGAATTCTCCCAAACCACACTAATTGATTGTTACTATTGTTATTTCCATTTTACAGCTATTTAGCAAGGATCTTTTTTTCTTTCCAGGGCAGCAGTGTATCAAAAAGGAGTTTGGGTTAGGTAATCAACAGGATATTTTTCAAATCTAAACTTCCAGGATTCTGATATTTTGCTGGACTAATTTAGTTCATAAGGAGGGCAAAAAGTGGTTCTGCTGCTCTTACTGGCACAAAATTCAAAATGATCTAGAATAAAACTATCTCTCTGCCAACTGTTCATACCTGTCACTACCATCCAACCCTCTGTCATGAGGCTCCACCTTAATGCAATAATTCACCACCACCCACTCAAACTCTCATATGCTTTTTGGCTTATCTCTGCAGACAGTAAAGTTCATCAAATATTCCTTCTGCTCTCCTACATTTTTCAGCCCCCATAATGGTAGGCAGAACCATACTACTAGTTCTGGCTCATTCAATGTGTGTGAAAGGAGCATGAGCCACTTCTAGGCTGAGGCAGTGAAAATCCACTATTTCCTTTCTTCTACCATGAGAATATAAGATGCCCTCAGCCTGTGTCCCTGAGGCTCTGGAACAGAGCTCCTCATGCCAACCAGACTTAGAAACGTACTTAAAGAAAGAAAGAAAGGAATGTTAGTTTTGTCTGGACATCAAGATGGGGCAGGGGAAATCTGTTACCACAGCATTGTCTAGACAAACCTCACTAACATAGTATCACTGACAGGTATCTCCAAATCATTTGCTAAGCAGCTCAGACTGCATTTAGTCTCTCTACTGTCAATAAGATATGAATAGTATCTATCTGAGTAAGGTAGAAAGAAAGCCACCTGGAGAGCTATTTATTCTATAAGAAATGAACAGGAAATTTTGTTGTGCTGATCTCCTTGGAAAGAGCAATATGGGGCCTGACCATATCTCCTACTGAGACCAGATGCTCAGATATGATTAGAGTTCAGTGTCATCTCAAATTGCTATGAATGAAGGCGACTTATAGGTCTAGAATTGATTTCGTATAGTTAACAGAGCTGATTTTTGCTTGTTTGTTTTCCTTATATTTTTTCAACTGAGCATTTTTTGAGAATACATTATGGGAGACAATTCAGTTGAAAGTCATAGTCCATTTCATGAAGGAGTTGACAGTCTAATGGGGAGGTAGAAATGTATTCACCTAAATATGATATAAGGCAGAATCAAGTCAGTGCCCGTTATGAATGGGAATTCTCTGGTAGAGTCAATTATTCAAGACGACTGGGTCATAATGAGGAAAGGATCAAAGATGAATGTCATTGTTTGACTCCCCACCACCCAGCCCTGCACTTCATCCACCAACAACAGCATAATCTCAGGCCTTAAAACCTGGATATTACATTTATTTGCATAAGATTCTTAGAATGAGATAACTAGTATTTTGCTCCCCATTAAACTTTAAACATTTTAAAACATTTTTTCATGTGCTTTTCTATGTTTTCAGATTAAAATAACTTTGAAGAGTTGTAGTCAAAGTATATCCTATAGCAAAACAATATGCAATACTCGTAGCAAAGACTTAAGGGACTAAAACACATACGCAATAGTGATAAATTTGGTTAAACCCATATCATCTAAGAATTGCTACAAATTTGTCATGAGGATGGATGACAATCTGGCCCTAGAGCTGAGAATGTGAAACTTTCTACAGAGGCTACCAGAAGAAACTGGCATGCCCTAAACGTATTACCAGTGTTAAACCGTGCTATCCATGCCTGCTCTGGCCCTGGGGACAGCTGTGAGAGGAATGCTGCTTCAACCATCTTTGTAGTAGGATTAAGTTGGCTGACCCACCTTCTATAGTAAAGTCAAACACGGATAGAAGTTTAGTACTAGAAAGTGAGTCCCAAGTTGAGGAGGGGGACAGCTGAGCATAAGGTACCAGCTCTACATTTCCCTGACTCTCACTTTTCTCTCAGTGAATGCGATTTACTCAGGGAAGTGGTTAAGTGCATAGACTCTGGAGCCAAAATTGGTTGGGTTGAACTCCCAGTTTTATCATTTTCCAGCTCTCTGACCTCACAAAAGTCATTGAACTCCTCTGTAACACTCTAACAAACCTCAACTTAACATTTTTATCTAACAAACTATTTCACATTTTTGTCCACTTAGCATAACTGATACAGATTGGATTTTTTTCAAAGAAAGTTATTTTTCTAAATACTAAGAGAGAAAAAAAGAAGCAAATACAAGAAGTGCAAAAGACAAAAAGGATATGCAGTTCAGTTATATAAGGCCCACCTACTCCATCTGCTGCCTTGCTGTGAAAAGCTGGCAGGACCTTGCAACACTCCGCCTTGATTCCTTCTTTACTGTATGATTACTGCGTCATTTTGTTATCACTGAAAAGATGTCAAATCCCGACTACTACCCAAAGTTCTCCCCCTGAGCAAGCTAATACCATCTGTGATATGAAAGAGAGAGAGAGACAGAGAGAGAGAGAGAATGCAAAAGAAATTGATTTCCCCTGTGTTGATTATATATTAAGATCCTCCCACTCAAATCTGGCATTCTGATCTTTAAACTGACGAATACACTTCTCTCCCCCGGTGAATGACCTCACAGGTGATATTCAGCACCTTCATAAAGGCCATATTCCTATGCCAAATATAGATAGAACATTACCATAATGCAGCACCCATATGCCTAGATGTACACATATTTAGAGAGAATAACAGGGCAGATGTGGAGGGAAAGGGAATTTCATCATACATAGTGCTTCTCAAACTATAGTTTTAGAATTATCTATAGTAGAATCTCTTGTTAATGGAAATTTCTGTGTTCCACAAGAGACTTCTGTATCAGTATTGGGGTGGGACAAACAAATCTGCACTTTTAAAACAGACTAGATGATTCTGATGTACTGAAAGTCTGACAGTCCTTGTAATAAAGGCTTGGGCAAGGTTAGGTTATTAAATTCAAATTATGTTAACATCAAACTCCCTTTATGTGCCCTGAGCAATGCTATATGCTTTATGTAGGAGAACTCCTACAAATCTCACACCAGCCCTGTTAAAAATGTCCCATTTTGCTTACATTGAAACAGAGGCACATAGAAATAAAGTAACTCCCCAAGACTATTACAACTACTTGAAGCATAGCTATTAAAAGTGTAGTTAACAAAGGACAATGTGATAGTCTCAAAGAGAAGTATTGCAGGAATTGAGTAAGGGAAGAACTGAGAAGCCGTTAAGTGCATGGACTCTGGGGCCAAAGTTGGTTGGGATGAACTCACAGTTTTATCACTTTCTAGCTCTCTGACGTCACAAAAGTCATTGAGCTCTTCTGTACCCCAGATTTCCCAACTCTAAAATGGAAATGAGACTGTCTCAGTCTGCTTTCTGTTGCTTATAACAGAATACCTGAAACTGGGTAATTTATAAAGAAAAGCACTTAATCCATCTTGAATTAATTTTTGTATAAGGTGTAAGGAAGGGATCCAGTTTCAGCTTTCTACATATGGCTAGCCAGTTCTCCCAGCACCATTTATTAAATGGGGAATCCTTTCCCCATTTCTTGTTTTTGTCAGGTTTGTCAAAGATCAGATGGTTGTAGATGTGTGGTATTATTTCTGAGGGCTCTCTTCTGTTCCATTGGTCTATATCTCTGTTTTGGTACCAGTACCATGCTGTTTTGGTTACTGTAGCATTGTAGTATAGTTTGAACTCAGGTAGTGTGATGCCTCCAGCTTTGTTCTTTTGGCTTAGAATAACACTTAAATGTTAGACCTAAAATCATAAAAACCCTAGAAGAAAACCTAGGGAATACCATTCAGGACACAGGCATGGGCAAGGACATAGGCATGGGCAAGGACATAGGCATGGGCAAGGACTTCATGTCTAAAACACCAAAAGCAATGGCAACAAAAGCCAAAATTGACAAATGGGATCTAATTAAACTAAAGAGCTTCTGCACAGCAAAAGAAACTACCATCAGAGTGAACAGGCAACCTACAGAACAGGAGAAAATTTTTGTAACCTACTCATCTGACAAAGGGCTAATATCCGGAATCTACAATGAACTCAAACAAATTTACAAGAAAAAAAAAACAACCCCATCAAAAAATGGGCAAAGGATATGAACAGACACTTCTCAAAAGAAGACGTTTATGCAGCCAACAGACACATGAAAAAACGCTCATCATCACTGGCCATCAGAGAAATGCAAATCAAAACCACAATGAGATACCATCTCACACCTGTTAGAATGGCGATCATTAAAAAGTCAGGAAACAACAGGTGCTGGACAAGATGTGGAGAAATAGGAACACTTTTACACTGTTGGTGGGACTGTAAACTAGTTCAACCATTGTGGAAGTCAGTGTGGCGATTCCTCAGGGATCTAGAACTAGAAATACCATTTGACCCAGCCATCCCATTACTGGGTATATACCCAAAGGATTATAAATCATGCTGCTATAAAGACACATGCACACGTATGTTTATTGCGGCACTATTCACAATAGCAAAGACTTGGAACCAAGCCAAATGTCCAACAATGATAGACTGGATTAAGAAAATGTGGCACATATACACCATGGAATACTATGCAGCCATAAAAAAGGATGAGTTCATGTCCTTTGTAGGCACATGGATGAAGCTGGAAACCATCATTCTCAGCAAACTATCGCAAGGACAAAAAACCAAACACCGCATGTTCTCACTCATAGGTGGGAATCGAACAATGAGAACACTTGGACACAGGAAAGGGAACAGCATACACCGGGGACTGTCGTGGGGTGGGGGGAAGGGGCAGGGATAGCATTAGGAGATATACCTAATGTAAATGATGAGTTAATGGGTGCACCACACCAACATGGCACATGTATACATATGTAACAAACCTGCACGTTGTGCACATGTACCCTAGAACTTAAAATATAATAATAATAAAAAAAAGAAAAGCGGTTTATTTTGCTCATGGTTCTGCAGGCAGGGAAGTTCAAGGGGATGGCCCTGGCTTGTGGGGAGGATCTCTGGGCTGCATCATAATATGGTGGAGAAGGTCAAAGGGGAAGTGGACATGTGTGAAGAGACAAAACCCAAGGAGTATCCTGACTTTGATAACAAACTCGCTTCTCACGGGAGCTAATACATTTTTGGGAGAACTAATCTAGTCATGCCAGAATAAGAACTCACTGACTATCATAAAAAATGCACCAAGCCATTCATGAGGGATCCACCCCTATGACCCAAACACCTACCACTAGGCCCCACATCACATCACTGCCACACTAGGGATCAAATTTCAACATAATATTTTGTGGAGACAAACAAACCATGTCCAAACCATAGCATTTTCCTCCTAGCCCTTCAAAACTCATGTTATTCTTACATACGAAATACGATCATTCCATCTCAAATAGTCCCAAGTCTTAACTCATTTCTGCATCTGCTCAAAAGTCCAAAGTTCAAATTCTCATCTGAGACTTAAGGCAAGCTCCTTCCAGGTATGAGCCTATAAAATAAAAACAAGTTATTTACTTCCAGGATACCATGGTGGAACAGACATTTGGTAAACATTCCCATTTCAAAAGGGAGAAATAAGCCAAAAGAAAGGAATGACAAGCCCCAAGCAAGTCTGAAACCCAGCAGGGCAGACATTAAATCTTAGCACTCTAGTATAGTAATTCACACTATGTGCTACCTCCTGGGCACACTGATGTGAGGAGTGGGCTCCCAAGGTCTTGGGTAGCCTTGCTCCCATGGCTTTCCCGGGCACACCTCACATGGCTACTCTTACAGGTTGGAGTTGGATGCCTGCAGTTTTTCCAGGCTGGCATTCCACACCAGTAGTTCTACAATTCTGCAGTCCCAGTGGTAGCTCCATCCCTGTGGCTCCACTAGGCATTGCTCTGGTGGAGGTGGCTCTGCCCCTGTAGCTTTGGCAGCTCTGTCCCTGCAACTGATTTCCATCTGGGTACTTAGGCTTTCCAATACATCCTCTAAAATGTAGGTGGAAGCTGCCAAGTGTCCACAGCTCTAGACCAAAATTTACTTTGTAGGTTTAAATGCATTAATATAGGTAAGTTACTTAAAACAGTACTCTCAGCACATAGTAAGCTCTATATAAGAGGCAGCTATTATTGCCATTATTTTATTGCTTTGATTATAATTGTATACATTAGACTCAGATCTCCTTTAGCAGAAATTGATATATCCAAAGAGCTGTTCTTGTACTATTCCACCACCAGCCTCCATAAGGAACTGCTCACCATCAGTATATACATCTTGGGGTACCTGAAAATTTAAGGAAGTGAATACTCCAATTCTCTGCCATGGGAGGACTCTGTCCTCACAGTTCTGTTACAGTGGCTGCTGTGTTCACCATTAGAACCATTCCACTATATTTATACATTGAAGAGCTCAGACAAATTATAAGTAACTTAGCAGGGTTGAGAGGTAACATATGAACCTGCTAAGTCTTTGAAAAACAGCCAGCTGAAACTTAGATAAGAGCAAAGTTCCAAGGAAACAGAAAACCTTTTGAGGAAATTTCAGAACACAGATTATCACAATATGTGACACTTGGGAGAGGCTCTAGCACCAATTTATCTCACAGTGACTGAATCCTGAGCAAAATGGCACCAACTTAAGGCCTGTCTGCTTTGCTATAACTAAAACTGGTTTGTTTACTAAAAGCAGTGGCAGACTTTGTTGCTCTGGGCTTCACTAAAATACTTACTATAGATATCATAAAAGCAAACACCTGCACAATGGATAGGTGGGAAAGAGGAGAAAGGGCACCATAAGCAAAACACAATTATATTTGTCTTCTCCTCCCTGCCCCAGGAGAGGGGAGTTGGAGAACAGCCCATGATATAAGTCATATCTCTATGCTTCTTTTTCTCAGTGGCAGAGGGTGATACTAGACACCATGAAGCAGCTGGGGCAGCAGTGAAGAGGAAGATTGGCCAGAAAAGACAGTGCCTGTTTTTCTCTACAGAACTAAAGCAGGACACACATATGCCCCATGCTGCTAACTCAGCTGTTCAAAAGATATGAAACTTCATAATTCAAATAAGAATTTTTACAACAGAAAGGACTAGTTCCATCAAATCCAAACACGCATACTCCAAGTAGCTGCTGCCAGATAAGGAGCTGTTCTTCTTGGAAGAATCTTTAAGTAATGACTATTTGCTCTCTTTTGTCACTTAGGTTATAAATTTTAGAATCTTCATATTCTAGAGCTGGAAAGATTATGCTGTGCAGTGGCCAAATAAGATGAGAGAAGACTAACTCTATTAGTCCATTCTCACACTGCTGATAAATACAAACCTGAGATTTAGTAATTTATAAATAAAAAGAAGTTTAATGGACTCACAGTTCCATGTGGCTGGGGAGGCCTCACAATCATGGTAGAAGGTGAAAGTCATGTCTTACGTGAAGGTAGACAAGAAAGGAAATGAGAGCAAAGAGGGGGAAATCCCTTATAAAACCATCAGCTCTCATGGAAACTCATTCACTGTCACAAGAACAGCATGGAGGTAACCACCTCCATGATTCAGTTACCTCCCACCAGGTCCCTTCCATGACACGTGGGGATTCTAGGAACTACAGTTCAAGATGAGACTTGGGAGGAGACACAGCCAAACCATATCATTCTGCCCCTGGCCCATCCCAAATCTCATGTCCTCACATTTCAAAACACAGTCATGCCTTCCCAACAGTCCCCCAAAGTCTTAACTCATTCCAGCATGAACTCAAATGTCCAAGTCCAAAGTCTCATCTGACACAAGTCCCTTCCACCTATGAGCCTGTAAAATTGCAAGAAAGTTAGTTACTTCCTAGATACAATGGGGGTACAGGCATTGGGTAAATATACCCATTCCAAATGGGAGAAATTGGCCAAAACAAAGGGGCTACAGGCCCCATGAAAGTCTGAAATTCAGTAGGGCAGTTATTAAACCTTAAAGTTCCAAAATGACCTCCTTTGACTCCATAAATCACATCCAGATCACACTGATGCAAGAGGTGGTCTCCCACAGCCTTGGGAAGCTTTGCCCCTGTGGATTTGCAGGGTACTGCCCCTCTCCTGGCTGCTTTCTTGGCTGGCATTGAGTGTCTGTGACTTTTCCAGGCACATGATGCAAGCTGTAGGTGGAACTACCATTCTGGGGTCTGGAGGACAGTAGCCCTCTTCTCACAGGTCCACTAAGCAGTGCCCCAGTGGGGACTCTGTATTGGGGCTCTGACCTCACATTTCCCTTCCACACTACTCTAGCAGAGGTTCTCCATGAGGGCACTGCCTCTGCAGCAAACTTCTGCCTGGACATCCAGGCATTTCCATACATCCTCTGAAATCTAGGCGGAGGTTCCCAAACCTTAATTCTTGACTTATGTGCACCCACGGGCCAAACACCACATATAAACTGCCAAAGCTTGGGGCTTGCACCCTCTGAAGCAATGGCCTGAGCTGTACATTGGCCCCTTTTAGCCATGGCTGGAAATGAAGCATCTGGGATGTAGGGCACCATCTCCTGAGGTTGTACAGAACAGGGGGGCCCAGGGCCCAGCACAGAAAACCATTTTTCCCTCCTAGGCCTCCAGACCTGTGATGGGAGAGGCTGCCATGAAGGTCTCTGACATGCCCTGGAGACATTTTCCACATTGTTTTGGTGATTAGCATTTGGCTCCTCATTCATTATGCAAATTTCTGTAGCAGGCTTGACTTTCTCCCCAGAAAATGGGTTTCTTTCCTATTGCATTGTCAGGCTGCAAATTTTCCCAACTTTTATGCTCTGTCACCTCTTGAATGGTTTACTGCTTAGAAATTTCTTTCACCAGGTACCCCAAATCATCTCTCTCAAGTTCAAAGATCCGCAGATCTCTAGGGACGGGGCAAAATGCCTCCAGTCTCTTTGCATAGCACGAGTAACCTTTACTCCAGTTCCCAGTAAGTTTCTCATTTCCATCTGAAACCACCTAAGCCTGGATATTATTGTCCATATCACTGTTGGCATTTTGGTCAAAGCCATTCAACAAGTCTTTAGGAAACTCCAAATTTTCCCACATCTTCCTGTCTTCTGAGCCCACCAAGTCTCTAGAAAGTTCCAAACTTTCCCACATTTTCCTGTCTTCTTCTGAGCCCTCCAAACTGTTCCAACCTCTGCCTATTACCCATATCCAAAATATCTTCCACATTTTCTGGTATCTTTACAGCATTGCCCCACTCCTGGTACCAATTTACTGTATTAGTCCATTTTCACGCTGCTGATAAAGACATACCTGAAGCTGGGTAATTTATAAGGAAAAAGAGGTTTAATGGACTCATAGTTCCACGTGGCTGGGGAGGCTTCACAAATATGGTGGAAAGTGAAAGGCATTTCCTTTATGGTGGCAGGCAAGAAAGAAAATGAGAGGGAAGTGGGGGAGAACCCCTTATAAAACCATCAGATCTCATGAGAACTCACTCACTATCATGAGAATCACATAGAGGTAACTGCCCCCATGATTCAATTACCTCCTACCATGTCCCTCCCACAGTGGAGGTTACAATTCAGGATGAGATTTGGATGGGGACACAGCCAAACCATATCACCAACCATGGGCTAAGAAGCAAGGGATGCTCAGTAAATATCTATAGATTTGAACCAAAGTGAATTACAGTGGGTTATCAATCTTAGAAACATGACTTTTGATAATTAATGAGATGTGATTACACCACATTGAGACTTGACTTTCTTGTTTGGATACTAAATTGGCTTCTCTTCCATCTCCTATTTGCAATAATTCTTCCAAGGATATAGACAAGGGCTCAAACATAATATCATAAAGTTCTTTTAGTGTTCTGGGATGCAATTTACCTGTCGTACAAACTGAATTCATTTATTTGTTTGTTGTCCAAACTCTTTTGGAATATAATTCCTTCTCTTCAAAGCTTATTCTCATATATTGCAATGACAGCACTACTGGCATTTGAGGTGGGGCAATTCTCTTATAAGACTTCAGTACATCTGTCTCCTACCCACTAAATACCAGCAGCATGCTCCCCTCCGCCAGTTATTGTGTAACCAAAGAACCCACTCGCCCAATACCAAATGTTCCCTCATGGGACAGTACCTCTTCTGGTTATGAATCAATCTATCATTTCCAATTTGATGGCCCTTCTCCTTGTTGGAAAACATGGACATAAAAACGAGCTGAGTAGCTCTGCTTTCTGTCTGATGCCTGTTAACTTTAAACCACCTGCTCCAAACTGGGTGGCAGGTAAAGGTAAGTTCATAGATAATTTAAATACAGTGAATGGAGGGTGTAGAGAGTAATGAATATACATAAAAGAGATGACATTCAGGCATTTAGACATGGCAAAATAATGGGGAGATGGGGATCAGGAGCCATTCATTAAATAAATATTTTAGTTCCTAATGTGTGCCATGTATTTGCTGTTACAAACAGGAATGAACAAAACAGACAAAACTTTTTATCATCAAGGAGCTTATATTATTATTGGGGAAAGACTGACAATAAACATGTAACTCATATACCTGATGGTATAAAATGCTATGGAAAATGGCCAGAGAAGGCCTCTCTGTAATGATGACATTAAGGCAAGTAAAAGTTAGGAGGAGGTTACAATATCCCATATGATGATGGTGGTGTAGTCTTGTGTGAAAGCAAGGGAGGTGGTATAATTCCAAAGGAAGCTGACAGAAGTTGCTGAAATTTGGGGTATGTGAGGGAGGCATAAATTATTACTGCAGGGTTAGTGGTCTTATACACTGGGGCAAAAAAGTGAGAGTAGGATGACATTTACTGAGCTGGAGGAGGAGGTTTACTGCTGATGGGGTTTTGGTTTTCATTATAGGAGAAGACAGGCACTCAAGAATTTTGTTTGGGCCATCCATCTGAGTGGAGATGCTGAAAATAAATCAGTTAGAAAAGAAGTTAAGGCTGGAAATACGACAGTTGTTACCATATAGATCATATTTATAGTCATTGACAAGATCCCCTAGGGAAAGAAGGGAAGGGCTTAGGACTGAGCCTGAGGGCCTCCCCCAAAGTTTCGTAGGCAGGAAAGGAAAGGAGTGAAGAAAGCTGAAAGTAGCCAGTGAGGTAGAAGGACAATTAAGAGAGAATGGGATGACAGAAGCCAAGGGATGGTAACATTTCAAGAAGAAAAGGAAAGCAAACAGTTTCAGGTACTGCTGAAAGATTTGGTATGATGAGCAATGAGATTTGACCATTGGATTTGATAAAGCAGAAGTCCTTGGCAAACATGGCAAGAAAAGTTTCAGTGAAGTGATGAAATGGAAAACTTGACTGCAATGGATTTATTAGTGAATAAGAAAAGGGAAACAGTGAGTATAGAAAATTCTTCTGAGAAATTTTGCTGTAAAGAGAAGCAGAGATACACTTCAAAAAGCAGAAAAGGAATGGGAAGTCAAAAAAGTTGTTTTGCATATTTTTATGATAGAAGATATTACAGCATGTTTGTCAACAGAGGGAAATCAATTGGTAGAAAAAGAAAGGTTGGTGAAGCAGGAGAGAGAGGTGAGACTTGTTGAAGGGCTGCTCTTTAGTAGAATGCAAGGTACAAATTGAGAGATTAACATGAGTTCGCAGTACACAGCTCTGAGAAATGGGAGGCAAGTTATATGAGTACAGATTATGAGAGGTAGATAAATGACATGGTAAGAGCATGAGGAATTTGCCTTCTAATTGTTTCTGTTTTCCCAGTGCAAAGTAAGAATGGAGGAGAAGATATCGGATGTTTAAACAGAGGTGACTGTGAATTAGTTGTCTAAGAATGTGGGGAAGTGAGTGAAAAGGGCACTTAGCTTAAGACCTTAAAAATTATTCCCTCGTCTTCAGACATGGATAAAACCATCCAATAAAAAATTAAACTATTTCTTTTTGTTGTTGAATTTTTATGGCTACCATCACAAATTAAAATAAAAAAATTAAAATTAAATTAAAATAAAATAAAATAAAAAATAAATTAAAAATAAACTAAAATAAAAAAAAAATTTTGCAATAGTTGGCCCATCTGCAGCTTTGAGAAAAGTTCATCGATAACTAAAGGTGCCTCATCTGATACCAATTTAAAAAACGAACCCTTATCCATCATTTTATGAGACTGGAGAATATGGCTTGATCTTGGTTTTGACACAAAGAGGAAAATGCTTAATAATTCAGTAAGTGCTTAGGAAAATGTTTAGAAAGCCACCTTGTCCCCCAGTATGGCCGTGTCTCCAACACTATGCTTCAGAAAATAAAACTTTCAACATGTGCTCAGTCAGTCAAAAACACCTCTCGGAATCAAGTTCTGTGCCAAACCAGACACTTAAAAGTAGAAAAGAGAGGCCAAGAAAGGAACATGGAGACAAACTCAACCTGCTCCCTGATGTGTCAGCTCCATCTTTGCTTATATTCTAGCAAGGGAAATAGCATTAGTATAAGAACAACTAATGTAAGACAAATAGCATCACTTAAATACTAGCAGATTTATAACCTTTTGTTTGGCTGAACCCCTGCCTAGAATACAAAAAGTTCACCACTGGATAGCCAGGCACAGTAGAAAGAGATATGATTAAAATGAAAATAACACCAACAAATATGGACAAAATTTCCCCCAGTCTCTCCAAGTCCCTCCAATGCTCTCTGGACTCTAAAGATTACGTAAGTATACTCCAGTATCTCCAAGTGTCGAGTAGTAGTACCTACCGTAACTTATAGCCTCTGAAGGTAAGAATTCTCTGTAGCATTTTCCCACTATTGCCCCACTCAACTACCATGTCATCATAGGCATAGTCATGTTATTGGACAGAACCAATCACAGTTCTCCCTTCAGGAATAAACTGGTCACCATTATCAGACTCAAATAATTTTGTGTCCTCTCTTCAAGGGCCTACTTGATCTACTCTTAGAACTTTACCCAGATAATGTCTACTCACAATTAGACAGGACATCAGACTTAACCAGGAAATTATTCATATCCACAAGGGGAACTTTCCAGATCCATTTCTGTTCTCTCCAACAGTTAGCCAGTTTTAGTGACTTTCTCTTCCAGATTCCTATTCTTTATGAGAAGAATATTGACCCAGTCCTGAAAATGACACTGTGTCCCTCTTTTCATCACATTATGATGAGGTAATGTGACTCCTTCATACTCCTTGGCACATGATTACTGGTGAAAGAGGCTTATTGTCACTCCAAAGGGACCATCATAAAAAACACTCCAATATATGCTAAAGCTCACAGGTTTTGACAAGAACCATAAAATACACTTGAAAAATACCATAGGAACATAAACGTGGGAATCATTGCTGATGACTGGGAAAGGCCAAGAAAGCTTCATGGGACCCAGGTAACAAAGTGGCATATGTAGCCCTTGAATCTAAAATAAAAGTCAAAAATAAGAAAAGAAAGCTTCATGGGAGACATGTCCCTGAATGATGAATAAGAATTAAGCAATTGATTGATGAAGGGGAAAAGATATTCATAAAAGAAGAGAAAACCATACCAAGAGACAAGTTCAAAAGTAGCAGTCCAGTTTGCTGGAGAAATAAATGTAGCTGAAAAGGTGATAAAACACAGACGGGGTCACATTATCAGAAAATTTGAAAGCCAGGGAATTGACTTTGGACTTGACTTTGGTAACCTGAAAGAACAGAGTTCATTGTCATCATCATTTTATGGTGAGAAGCATAATGTTATAGTGCAAAACACAAATGAACTAAGACATACTCTTGGTTCTATCCCTAACTAGCTGTGGGAACTGAAGCAATTCATTTAACTCAGTTTATCCCACATATGTATAATGATGGAGTTAGAATGAATGGTCTTTAAAGGCCCATTTTGCTCTGATACAATGTAATCGGAAGAATCCTACCTATTCTTCTTGGTCAAGCTTTTATGTGACATCTATTATCTAAAATTTATATTAAATAGTTGTACTAAAAGTTTTAAGCTAATAACTCTGATTTACCAGAAAGAAAGGTTGATAATAAACAATATTTTAGAAATTCTCCAAACCTGCCATGGATTATAGAGGATTGCTACATGGGGAAAAATAAATTAAATTAAATTAGCGCAACAATTTGGAAACCAGGAAATATCTACCACCTCCTTGCAACTCAGGACAAGCAAGAGAAAAGGTTCAGTAGTAAAGGGAAGCAAAGAGGCCACTGTTAGAAAGATATATGAACTTTTATTTTGAGACTGTGAAATGAGTGCAACCATTTAACTCCTTAAATGCCCAAAATTACTACTGAAATTGAAATAATAGAAAATAAAAAGAAGATAATATATTTCAATACAAAAATATGGAAAGGGGAACTATAATTATACCAAAACACTGAAGAATTTCTGCAAGATATAGTTATAATATTGATAGAGCATAAACAGTGCCATGTAAAATAGAGGAGGGAGATTACTGTCACAGAGGTAAGAGACATGCTTTAAAATGGTTCTTCATAGGATGAAATTCAAAGCTTTGGGGAAGCAAAAACAGGAAGCACAAGCAGGTAATAGAAAAACTGTTATAGTGATAAAATATTGGAGAACAGGTGAAAGAATCATTTACACCTTCCAACCTCAGTACCAAGTTGTAAATAAAGAGTACATGGATACGGTATTTTAGTCTAAACATCAATTATTTTTTTAGGAGATAGAGTCTCTTTCTGTCACCCAGGATGGAGTTTAGTGGCATGATCACAGCTTACTGCACCCTCAACTTCCTGGGCTAAGCAATCCTCCCACCTCAGCCTCCCAAGTAGCTGGGACTGCAGGTGCATACCACCCCGCCTAACTAATTTTTGTATCTTTTTTTTTTTTTTTTTGTAAAGACAGGGTCTCATTTTGTTGCCCAGGCTGGTCTCAAACTCCTGGGCTCAAGCGATTCTCTCACCTCAGCTTCCCAAAGTGCTGGGCCTACAGGTGTGAGCCTCACACCTGGCCACATCAGTTACTTTTAAAACACAGAGTATATTCCATAAGGAATATCTATTATGTGTGTTGGGACTCTAGTGATATCTTCAATTCTCAATAAAAATGATGTGATGTTGGTCAAAGCACACAAAATTTCAGTTAGCAAGAGGAATAAGTTCAAAAGATCTATTGTACAACAATAGTGACTACAGTGACTGCAGTGCACAACAATGTAGTGTATACTGGAAAATTGCCAAGAAAAGTAGATTTTAAGTGTTTTTGCCACAAAAAAGTCTGTGAGAGAATGCACATGAAAATTAGCTTGATTTAGACATTCCATAATGTATACAAATTTCAAAACATCATGTTGTACACCATAAAAACATACGCTTTGTATTTACAATTAAAATAATTAACTAACCAAAATAAATACATAAATGCATGAAAAGAAAGAAATGGGGGGAAATGGGGAAAACACAACTCTGCATAGGCGTTAATACATTAAAGTGTTCTACTTCAGGATAATGACTTTTTTTGCCAATAACAACAATATCTGGCTTGTCTAGAAATTTCATACCAAAATACTCTTGAGAGAAGTCTGTCAGCATATATACTCCTGTGTACACAGGGCAAATTACTCAATCCTCCATTCAGCAAAGAGGTTTATTGTGACAATGTGCTCCTATAACTACTAAGGAAAACTGTATTGGATCCAAATGATGAGCTAAGATCTTCTTTGATAAATATGAATAGGCACTCAAGAATCATCAAATCCTTGAAGAAAACCATGACAATGAAAAAGAAGCAAGATGAACATATTAAACAATTATCCCCAGGAGAAAGAGGCTCATTTAGTCACCCCAGAAAAAGTCAACAGGATGTTAAAACAATAAAATAAGAACACACTACTATGAAAATACATCAGTCTGATCTATAAGAAATTTAAAACTTTGTTTTTAGAATTTTTTTTAACTGAAGGAAAATTGAGAGAAAAAAAATGGCCAAATATTAAATTAGTGATCTGGAAGCCCTCGCTAGGATATTCTCCCAGAAATCTCTAAGAAAGGAAAATCAAAACATCAAGACAAAAACAATGGATTTAGTAGATTATTTGATTAGTCCTATAACGACTAAAAAGTACTCTGTAATTAACATCTTCCCACAAATAAAGCTTCAAGCCTAGATGTCTTTGGAGACTTCAACCAAACATTTAAAGCAAAAATAAGGACAACGATACACAATCTCTTTCTACAAAGAGAAAATGAGAGGATATTTCAACCACATTATAAGGCCAACATAACTTTGATACCAAAATCTGATTAAAACATTGTAAAGAAAAGAGAACTACAAGTGATTCTCACCCATAGAGATGTAAACATTCAAAACAAAAGATTTGCAAAGCGAATAAATAAATATATAGGAACATGGAAGGATCTGGAGGCCATTATCCTTAGAAAACTAACACAGGAACAGAAAACCAAATATTGCATGTTCTCACTTATAAATGGGAGCTAAATGATGAGAACACGTGGACACATATAGGGGAACAACACGCACTGGGGCCTATTGGACGGTGGACATTGGGAGGAGGGAGAGAATCAGGAAAATATAACTAATGGGTACAAGGTTTAATACCTGGGTGATGAAATAATCTGTACGACAAACCCCCATGACATATAACAAACCCGTACATGTACCCCTGAACTTAAATAAAAGTGAAAAAAGAAATATATATAAAAGAAAACATCATGAACAAGTTGGAGTTATTTCAAAAATGCAAGCGTGGCTTAAAATTTTAAAATCAACATAATTCATCACATTAACCAAATAAAGGGGAAAAGAATCATATAAATATTTCAATCATTAAGAAAAATGTTACATTACTGGGCATGCTCACATGCACCTGTAGTCCAGCTAATCGGGAAGCTGAGGCAGCAGGATCACTTGAATCCAGGAGTTCAAGACCAGCCTGGGCAACATAGCAAGATCCTGTCTCAAAAAAAATGTTCTATTGCTAATAAAAAGTCTTAAAAACTAGGAATAGATAGGAATTTCCTTCATCTGATGAAGAGTAGCTACAAACAAGACTACAGCAAACATCATACTGAATGATGTAATTTTAGTAGTTTCCCCTTTAAGATCAGGAGTGAGCCAAGGATGACGACTATCTAAACTTTTAATCAGCATCGTACTAGAGATCCTAGCCAAAAAAAGGAAAGATAGAAATGCAATTGAAAAGGAAAAATTAAAATTGTCATTTTCAGGGGTATAATTGTGAATATAGAAAATTCAAAAGGATCTATAGATTATTCAAATTAATAAGTTCAGCATAGTTTCTGTATTTCTATATATCAGCCATGAACAATTACAAAACAAAGTAAAATAGTGTTTACAATAGCATGAAAAGTAAAGAGGCTCAGAATCAACGTAGCAATAGTTTTTCTCAATAGAGGATTGCCTTAATGCTGAGAAAGTCACTCTAGATGCAGGGTTGTTATAGATCTGCCTAGCAAAGCTTAAAATCAAGGCTTAACTTAGCAAAATTTTTCTAAGTAACTTAGCTTTGTTCCAGAACAAAGCGCAAAAACACATAAAGGAATACAAAAACAACCAACACACAACAATCTGCCACAAAATGTCTGCAGTCCAATAAAGAACTACCAGGCATGCACAGCCATAAAAAACGATGAGCTCATGTCCTTTGCACGGACATGGATGAAGCTGGAGACCATCATTCTCAGCAAACTAACACAAGAACAGAAAACCAAACACCGCATGTTTTCACTCATAAGTGGGAGTTGGACAATGAGAACACATGGACACAGGGAGGCGAACATCACACACCGGGGCCCGTCGGGGGTTGGGGGCTAGGGGAGGGATAGCATTAGGATAAATACCTAATGTAGATGACGGGTTGATGGGTGAAGCAAACCACCATGGCACGTGTATACCTATGTAACAAACCTGCACGTTCTGCACATGTATCCCGGAACTTAAAGTATAATAAAAAAAAAAATTACCAGGCATGCAAAGAAATAAGAAAATGTGATCCATAATAAGGAGAAAAATCAGTCAATAGAATAAAAACATAAATAACACAGATTACAGAATTAATAGACAAAGGCCATAAAACAGCAGTTATAAATTTCTGCCATGTATACAAATAGGTAGAGAAAAACATGAAGACAATGAAGAAATAAACAGAAGATATTAAAAGACTTAAATTAAAATTCTAGAGAAAAATACAGTATCTGAGATGAAAAAAATTCAATAAAGTAACCTAACAACAGATTGTCATTGCAGAAAAAAAACGAATAAACCTTTAGACAGAGCAACATAAACTATCAGAATAAAACAGAGAGAAAATGGCTAAAAAATGAAAGAGTACCAGTGCACATCAAGTGGCCTAACATATTTGTAATTGGAGGCTGAGGCATGAGTAAGATTATTTAAAGAAATAATGGGCAAAATTTATAAATTTGATGAAAACTATAAACCTACAAACCCAAACCAAATGAATCCTGAGCATAAGAAAAATGAGAAAACATTAACTACAATCTAATTATGAAAACAGTAATAAAAAGAACAAATCTTTAAAGCAACCAGAAGTGGAGAAAAAGATATATGATACAGAAAATGAATAAAATTAAATCAGACTTCTCACCAGAAACAATGCAAACCCAAACACAGTGGGGAAACATCTTTGAAGCATTGAAAGTAAAACAACAAAAATCAACCATCAATCTAGAATTCTATACCCAGTAAAAATATCTTTCAAATGTGAAAGTAAAATAAAAATATGTCCAGACATACAACAGCTAAGAAAATTCATCATCAACACACCAGCATTAGAATGAATGCTAAAGGAATTGCTTCAGGCAGAACAAGAAAAGATAAACGGAAATTTGAATATACACAAAAGAATAAAGAGCCCTGGAAACTTAAATATGCAGATAAATATAAAACACTTTTTAAACTTATTCCTTAGTCTCTTAAAAAGATAATTGGCTTTGTTTACAGTTGACAAAGCTACTTTATGAAATCAGCTGACAGAGATAAACTGTAAGAGCATTATCAGCTTGATTAGTGCATAATGTTACAGTGGGTTGCTCATCTCAGGCCTTAAAGCTTTTTGAAAACCAACAGCATCACAATTTGTTTTGGACTTTATTACACTATTATTCTCATTATGAAAATTTAGTTTTGTAGGGTTTTTCATTCTTCAAAGAGGCACAGGGCCAAATTGTTAGAGGAAGAATGCAGAACGTAAATTTGTATATTATTACTTTAATATGCCCACATTTTCCTTAAAATATTAAAAGAAGGAATCCTGCAAAATAGAAAGATTTGTTTGTAAATTCTGATAGTGAGATAATGAGCTAGTGACGGGTAATTTTTCTTTTCTTGGACACTTAATTCTGTTATGAAACTCAATTATCACATTGCTTTTTGGCATCATATCTGGAACGCCACCATTTAAAAGTTAAGATTCTTGGTATTTGGGAGTCTTCTAGATGCTACTAAGAAAACAGGAATGAGTTTCTTTACTGAAAGTTTTTTGATGTGGTGTCATAGAATAACGTGTTGTAGACACAACCAGCTGCTTTATTACCTTAAAACTAGGCATTTGTAAGTATTAAAATTTAAGAATATGGCAGATGATGTCCCTTAAGATTCAGACTATACTTAACTAGCTCTTCAGATTCGACAACACAATTTTTCCTCTTTTAAAAAATTATAGGAGACTTGTAACTCAATACTGCTATTTTCTGTTTCTAATTTGCTGCTGATAATGTATATGCATTTAACATGCTGTGTAAGCTGTGTCCTAGTTACTAAACAGCTTATGCAATGTTACTTTGCTAAATAGTCAAAAGAAAGGAAAAAGATAACTGTATAAATCAAAAGTAATAACAACATAGTATGAGGCATAAAACATATGTTGGAGTAAAATGTACAATAAAAATAGCACAAAGTCTTGGGGAGGGAAATAGAAGCACTGTATACTGTTGTACAGTTCTTATATGACACGAAAAGTGGTATAATGTTATTTGACATTGGTACAATGTTGTTCAACATTGTACTGGAAATACTATCCAGTGGAATAAAAAAAGATACAGGGAAAGCAAGCATGAAGCTTGGAAAGGAAGGAATAAAACTGCATATATTCACAGAAGACATAATCATTTATGTAGAAAATCTTAGATAATCCACAAAGAAGCCACTCGAACTAATATTTGTATTTTGAAAAATTTAGAGAGTATATGAGGTTAATTAATATACAAAACTGATTGCATCTCTGTATACTAGTTATGAATACACAGAAATCGAAATTTAAAAATTTAGAAGTTACCATTTAGGATACCATCCAAAAAATAAAATACATCCAAACAGCATCCAAAAAATTCAAATGAAATATTGAATTTTAAGGAAGAAATTGACAATAGATTATCAAGAGATGTAAAACAGAATTACAAAGCATTGTTGGGAGAAATCAAAGAAGTCCTAAATAAAATGCAAAGATATACTGTACTGACAGATCGGAAGTTTTATTATTGTTAATATTCATTTCTACAGATCGACATTCAATATGAAGTCAATGAAAACTCTTGCAGACTTTTGTAAAAGTTGACAAGCTAATTCTAAAATTGATGTGGAAATGCAAGAAACCTAAAACAGTCAAAACAATTTAAAAAAATAAAATAAGAATTGTAGGACTCACACTACTAAATTTAAAGATAATATAAAACTACAATAAAGACAGTATAGTATTGGTGTAAATATAGATATATAGATCAACGAAACATAGTAAAGCATGTAGATATAGAACCATTCAAACATGGTCAATTGGTATACAGAACCAATGAAACGGCAATTATTTCAAAAAATTGTACTGGAACAATAAGATATCTGTATGCAAAAAAAAAGAACACTGACCATTACCACACACCTTACAAAAGTATTAACTTGAAATTGATTGTAGACCTAAATGTAAGGGCTAAAACTTTTAATGTTCTAGAAAAAAAAAGAAAAAATTTGAGTGACTTTAGAATAGAAAAATATTGTTTTAAATAGAACACAATAACCATGACATGTAAAAGAAAGGTGATAAATTTGTCTTCACTAAAATTAGAGGCTTTGGCTCTTCCAAAGACACTGTTAAGAAAATTAACAGGCACGGTGGCTCACATCTGTAATCCCAGCACTTTGGGAGGCCAAGGAGGATGGATCACGAGGTTAGGAGTTCAAGAAAAGCCTGGCCAAGATGGTGAAACCCCATCTCTAGTAAAAATACAAAAACTAGCTGGGCGTGGTGGCGGGCTCCTGTAATCCCAGCTACTCGGGAGGCTGAGGCAGAGAATTGCTTGAACACAGGAGGCAGAGGTTGCAGTGAACTGAGATCACGCCACTGCACTCTAGCCTGGGTGACAGAGCGAGACTCCATCTCAAAAAAAAAGAAAAGAAAAAAAAAAGGAAATTAAAAGGTAAGCCACAGACTGATAGAAATATTTATAAGATATATATCTGACAAAAAATTGTATAGAGACTATATTAAGCATGTACACCTCAATAATAAAAAGGCAAACAGCCTAATTTTTTTAATGGGCAAAATATATGAACTGTCACTTTACCAAACATAAATGAATCTTAGAAGTATCATATTGAGTGAAATAAGAAAAGCCTCCCCCAAAATAAAACATATACACTGAATTGCATTTATATACTGTTCACAAACAGGCAAAATTACACAATATTGTGTGGAGATGCACATATGGGTAGTAAAACTACAATAAAATCAAGGTCATTCTAATTATGAAACTAAGGATATCAGTTTCTTCCATAAAGGAATTAGATGGGAGTGATTTTCAAGAGACACACAGTGGGCCTTAAGGTGCTGGTAATTTCTTGAGCTGAATCATGACTATGCAGGTGTTTGCTTTATAATCACAGGTGTTCACTTTTTATAAAACTTATGAAAAATTTTAAGTAACACGAGTAGAATAAAAATAGAAAGCAAAAATTGCCAGCCACTAGAGAATAAAAAGGGATTAAAGAAGCCTTAGTAAACACATCAAAAACCCACAAAGATAGTGATTCCACAGAAAACGGCAGAATAGGGAATTCACAGTCCCCTCCCTCCATAAAAGCAACAGATAAACTAGCAAAAACTGTCAGAATCAACTTTGCAGGACTCTAGGAACTAGTCAAAATTTACAATAACCAGGAGAAAGTTTAATGAAAAAGGAAGCTGCTGCGTTGTAGTAAGAGAATGTTGTGGACTTTACAATTTCCCACCGATCATCTTCCACTTCCCAGATCAGCAGTGGCCATGAAGATGACATCCTGCATTCCTGGTTCAGGTTGCTAGTGCCAAAGGGAGCAACAGGAATTTTATTCTCAAATAGCTGTGATTGTCTTTCAACTAGTTGGGTAGCATTATGAAGCATCAGCGCAAGGGTTTGCATTTGTTTTGCTCAATTTACACCATTCCCAGGGTGGAGTGGCTTCCTAGGTGATTTTTGCAGAAAGTGTTTAAAGACAAACATTGGCTAAAGGAATCTTGAGCAAGAAATAGGTATGAGAAATAGACAAAGGAAAAATCATGGGAAGGAGGAAGTTGGTAAAGGAGATATGGGGAGGGAAGTGAATAAAAACTTTTGAAGCTCTTGCTTATAGGTGGGAATTGAGAAGGCAATGCAGTTGCCCAGGGCTAAACATATGCTCAGGAAAGGCCTGAGAAAACCCTAAGCTTTCACCTTTGAGTGACCCTCAGGCTTCTCTCAAACCGGAAGTGAAGGTTAAGGCCTGGCTAAGCAGTAAGAGTGCCACAACAGAAAGCCAATCTAACTAAATAGATTTTTTTTCCTGTTTAATATTTCTTTCTTTCTTTTTTTGGCTTCAGGCTTTTACAGAAACCATGTAAAACACTATCTGACCATTAAACTAATGCAATACAGATTTCAATGGCCACACATGACAAAGAATACAGACTTTATGGAAATAATTTAGAAGAGTCACTAAACAAACAAACAGCCAGTAGCAAGCAGCAACAGCAAGCCCAGGGAGGGTAATAATCTGATTTCCAGAGTTGCCACATTATACTATTCAAAATGTCCTGTTTTTAACAAAAAAATTTACAAAGCATGCAAAGAAACAAGAAAATATGACCCATTTACAGAAAAAAATTACTAATAGAAACTGTTCCTGAGAAAGCTTACATATTGGGCTTACGAGACAGTGATAGTAAGTCAGCTGCCTTAAATATGCTCAAAGAGCTCAAGGAAATCAAAGACAAAGAATTAAAGAAAATCAGGAGAATGATCTCTCACCAAAGAGAATATCAATAATGAGAGAGAAGTTATTGAAAAGAACCAAATTAAAATTTTAGAGCTGAAAAAGTACAATAACTGCATTGGAAAATTTACCAGAGAGGTTCAACAACAGATTTGAGCATACAGAAGAAAGAATCAGTGTACTAAAAAGATAGATTAAGGAAATCATCTAGTCTGAGGAGAAGAAAAAAAGAATGAAGAAAGTGAACACAGCCTAAAAGACCTATAACATCAAGCATACCAATATATGCATAATGAAAATTCCAGAAGGAAAGAATAGAAGGCAAAAAAGTATATTTGATAAAAGTGTGGCCAAAAATTTCCCAAAGTTTTCAAAAGGGATAAATATACACATCCAAGAAAATTCTACAAATTTCAGATAGCATAAACTCAAAGAGATCCACACCAAGACACATTACAATGAAATTATTGAAAAGCAAAGGCAGAGAATCTTGAAAGCAGCAAGAGAGAAGTGACTCACCATGTACAGAAGAGCCTCAATAAGATTAACAGCTTATTTCTCTTCAGAAATCTTGGAGGCCAGAGGCAGTAAAGTGCTGAAAGGAAAAACTTGTCAACAAAGAATTCCATATCTGACAAAACTTTCCTTCCAAAATAAAAGAGAAATAAAGACCTGGTCAAGTAAACAAAAGTTGATGGAGTTTACAACTTGTAGACCTGTCCCACAAGAAATGCTAAAGCGGGTCTTCAAAGCTGGAAAGAGTAACTCATTAGATAGTTATTCAAAACCATATGAGAAATGAAGAGCAACATAAAGCTATCTACATAGTTTAATTTAAAAGCCAGTTTCATAACTATTCTGGTTTGTAACTCATCTTTTTCCCCACATTATTTAAGAAGACAAATGCTTAAAACAATAATTATAAATCTATATAAATGGACACACAATGTATAAAGATGTGGCTTGTGACAGAAACAATATGGGAGGCTGGAGATGTAAATGAGCAGAGTTTTTGTATACTATTGAAATTAAGTTGGCATTCATTCAAATTTGATAGTTACAGACAAACTACTAAGATAAAAATTAAAAAAAAAAACAGAAAAGGAAATAAGGAAGGAATCAAAATGGTTCACAAGAAAAAAATGAACTAATCACAAAATATGGCAGTAATGGAGGACATTACCAACAAACATATGAAAAAAGCCCAACATCACTGATCATTCAAGAAATGCAAATCAAAACCACCATGAGATACCACCTCACACCAGTCAAAATGGCAATTATTAAAAAGTCAAGAAAAAATAGATGCTGGCAAGGCTGTGGAGAAATGGGAACACTTTTACCCTGTGGGTGGGAGTGTAAACTAGTTCAACCGTTGTGGAAGACAGTGTGGTGATTCCTCAAGAACCTAGAAACAGAAATACCGTTTGACCCAGAAATCGCATGACTGGGTATATACCTAAAGGAATATAAATCATTCTACTACAAAGACACATGCACATGTATATTTATTACAGCACTATTTACAATAGCAAAGACATGGAACCAACCCAAATGCCCATCAATGATAGACTGGATAAAGAAAATGTTGTACATATACACCATGGAATACTATGCAGCCATAAAAAGGAATGAGATCATGTCCTTTAGAGAGACATGGATGAAGCTGGAAGCCATCATCCTCAGCAAACTAACACAAGAACAGAAAACCAAATACCACATGTTCTCACTCATAAGTGGAAGTTGAACAATGACAACAAATGGACACAGGGAGGGGAACAACACATACCAAGGCCTGTTTGGGGGGTGGGGTGTCGAGGGGAGGGAACCTAGATGATGGGTCAAAAGGTGCAACAAACCACCATGGCACAGGTATATCTATGTAACAAACCTGCACGTTCTGCACAGGTATCCCGGAACTCAAAGTAAAATAAAAATAAAGAAAATAATCAACAAATCAGGAGTAGAAGAGCACTGACTCAACAGGATAAAGGACATGTATGAAAACTCCAAAGCTAACAATATACTCAGTGGCAAAAAAGTGTAAACTTCCCCCTAAGATAAAGGACAAAACAAAGATACCCACTTTCACTGCTGCAATGCAACACTGTAGTGGAAGTTCTATGAACAACAACTAGGCAATAAAAGGCATCCAAACTGGAAATGAAGAGGGAAAATCATCTCTTTTTAGAGATGCCATGTAGAAAATCCTAAAGAATCCCCCAGAAAACTATTAATTAATAAATGAATTCAAGTTGCAGAATATAAGATTAAAAGACAAAAATTTATTACACTTTTCTACATCAGCGATGAACAATGCAAAAAGAAACTTAGGAAGATAATTTCATTTATAATATCATTAAAAATTAAATAAATGTTTTAATGATTTAACCAAGTAAGTGCAAGGCATGTGTTGAAAATTATAAAATATTGCCGAAATAAATTAAAGAAAAAAAAATTTTTAAATTAAATAAGATGGGGAAAGGCGTGCCATGTTCATGGATTGGAAAATTCAATATTGTTAAGACACCAGTATTACTCAAAGAAATCTACATATTCAATTGAATCCCTATGAAAATCTTAAAGGACTTCTTTTTTTGCAAAAATGAAAAACTGATCCTAAAATTCATATGGAATTGTATTGGACTCTGAATAGCCAGAATAATAGGGGAAAAGAAAAACAAAGTTTGAGGACTTACACTTCCTTCTTTCAAACCTTACTACACCAATCAAAATAGTGTGGTACTAGCATGATGACAGACATATATATATATATATATATATATATATATATATATATATATAGATAGATAGATAGATATATAGATATATAGATATAGATATAGATATAGATATATATGATATATATCTGTATGTATAGCTGTATATGTACATATATCATTTATATACCTAGGTTCAATTGATTTTGAAATTGATTTTAATCCATTGATTTCGAATGGCACAAATATCATTCAATATGAAAATAATAGTCTCAAAAATGGTGCTGGAACAACTGGGTATCCATACGCAAAAGAATTAAGTTGGGCCCATTTATCATACCATAGGCAAACAGTGACCCAAAATGGGTCAATAATCTAAATATAAAAGCTAAAACCATAAAACTGCTAAAATAAAATATAGGGTAAATCTTCATGACCTTGGATTTGGCAATGGGTTTCTTATATGAAACCAAAAGCATGAGCTACAAAATAAAAATAGACACATTGGATTTCAAAATTAAAAATGGATAAATTTGACTACATCAAAATTAAAAATTTTTCTCTTTCAAATACACCATCAAGAAAGTGAGAAGACAACCCACACAATGGGAGAAACTAATTGCGAATCATATATATAACAAGGGCCTATTACTCAAAATATACAAGGAAATTTTACAAATTGACAACAAAATGACAAACAACCTAACTAAAAATTGAGCAGATTATTTGAACAGATATTGCTCTAAAGATATTCAAACAGCCAGCAAGCACATGGAAGTACATTCAATGTTATTAGTCACTGGAAAAACACAAATTAAAAACACACCTCACATCCACTAGGATGCTCATAATCAAAATGTCAGACAGTATCAAGTGTTGACAAGGATGTGGAGAAATTGAAACCCCTGTACATTGCTTGTGAGGATGTAAAATGGTTCTGTTAATTAAGAAAGCAGTTTGGCAGTTCCTCAGTTACCCTGTGACCCAGCAATTTCATTACTAGGTATATACCTGAAATACTTGAAAACAGGTACTCAAAAAAAGAAAAAAAAAAAAACACAGACACAAACGTTAATAGCAGCACTATTCACAATAGAAAAAAAAAGGTGGAAACAACCCGAATGCCTGTCAACAGATGAATGGATAAACAAAATGTGGTGTACACAAACAATAGCATACTATTCAGCCATAAAAAGGAATGAAGTACTGATACATGCTGTGGATTAACCTCTAAAACATGCTAATTTAAAGAAACCAGACACAAAAAAGCACATACTGTATGATTCCATGCGTATGAAACATTTACAAAGGGTAAATCTACTGAGATAGCAAGCAGAATAGTGGTTGCCAGGGGCTAGTGAAGGGGTAAATGAAGAAGGACTAATATGTATGAAATTTCATTTAGGGGTGATGAAAATGTTTTGGAACTACACAGAGGTGATGATTACACAACATTTTTTTTATTATTATACTTTAAGTTTTAGGGTACATGTGCACAATGTGCAGGTTAGTTACATATGTATACATGTGCCATGCTGGTGTGCTGCACCCATTAACTCGTCATTTAGCATTAGGTATATCTCCTAATGCTATCCCTCCCCCCACCCCACAACAGTCCCCAGAGCGTGATGTTCCCCTTCCTGTGTCCATGTGTTCTCATTGTTCAATTCCCACCTATGAGTGAGAATATGTGGTGTTTGGTTTTTTGTTCTTGCGATAGTTTACTGAGAATGATTGGAAATCATCATTCTCCCACCTTCTAAATATGCTTCATCTATGGTCTTCCCAATCTGGGTAAATTGTTCCACCATAAGCCAAGCCCATTCATTATACCTTCTAAATGTCTTTTAACTCTTCCCTCTTCTTTCTGGCTCCATTATTACTGCACAAGCCCAAACGCCATCCCAAAAAGCAACAGCAATGTACTTTGCACCACAAGTCAAGCTTAACTGACTTAGGGCTCACTGTTTTCTGTCTGAAGCTACTGTTCTTTGTTTTCCTACTACTTCCTGATTCTATGCTCCAGATCCATACATTAACTTGCCTACTTGACATCTTCATTTGAATGTCCCAAGTGCACCTCAGTGTAACATGCCCTGGACTTTTACCATCATCTTTTGCCAGGATTATTTCAAGGCATACTAATCGGCCTCCCTGCTTTTCACCCTTGGCCCTTTAATTAATTCTCTGCACAGCAAAGAGTAATATGTTTTACAATGTAAATCAGAACGATATCACTCCTCTGTTTAAAACCTCTCATCAGCTCCTTTTCCTTTTATGACAAATATCAAATTCTATTCGTGTGGCTTACTGGGGTCTACACACTCTGAACACTGCCTACTTCTCCAGTTCTGTCATATGTTGTTCTACCCAAATCTCATTGGACATACTATTTCCTTTGCCAACTCAGGCCTCAGCTTATTCTATTTCCTCTTCCAGAATATAATTTATCCACTAACCCCAACTCTTTTCACTTGGTTAACCCCTATCCTTCCATAAGTTCATCGTTTAAACTTCACATCCTTTAGATAAACATTTATTTCCCTCACCTCTAACAATGGCAGGTCCCTTCCTCTGGCTTCCGCAGAATCATGTGCTTTTCCTTTGAAACACTTAGAACATGTCTAACTATTTACTGCTACATATTTAATATCTTTCCCACCCCTAAAAGGCTAAGTTCCAAGAGGGCAGAGATTTTTATCTTTTTATTCAACATTATATCCCCAATGCCTAGTACAACACTTGGAACATAGCTGGAGTTCAATAAGTATCTGTGAACTTACTTCAACAGTCCTACAATTGTTCCCCTTGCCTTTATTTTTCCCTTTCTATCTCCCCTAAGGTGCAAAATTTGAACAAAACAATTAACTGGTTGCCCAATGCCCTTGATATAAAGGCTAAACACCTCAACATGACATAGAATATCGCATGATCAAGATACTGCTTGTCACTAGAGATTCATCTCCCAACACTCCCTATTCCCACACCAGGCTCCATACTGAACTATTTGCAGTTTCCCTGAGCACTTGGCATATGCCTGCTACAAATAAATCAAATATTTTCAAAATAAATAAATATTTCTTCCAAACAGTTCTAAAATCCACATATCTCTCTCTATTCCACTATCACTATCCTAGTCTAGACACTCGTAATATCTCATGTATTCTTCTTCAGCAACCTCTTAACAGACTTACTCCCAAGTCTGCCCTTTATGCCACTGCCAGAAAGATCTTACTAACATATAAGTTTCAATATGACAATCTCCTCTCTCTCTTAAATTCCCTCAAAGAGTCTAGCCACTTATAAAATGAAATCTAAATTCATTAGTATGACACACATGATTGGTTATATGAGGTCATCAGTTTACGATGCTTGGCAAAATGTCTGTCATACTAAAAGTACTCATAAATGTTAGTCACTGTGTTCTTTTGCTGCAGGAACAAACAAACCCCCCGCATCAATCTCAACATTTGTTGCTCAGGGTCTTCAGGCCAGCTGTGATTTGATAGGGTTCACCTGGGCTCAGGTTCAAATGTGCTCCATGTAGTCTCATTCTGTGACCCAGGCAGAAGAAACAGCAGTCTCATTCTACAACCCAGGCAGAAGAAACAGCAGCTATCTGGGGATATGTTCTTCTCATAGATGGTGGTAAGAGCACAAAAGGCCAAAGCAAACTGTGTGGGCACATTTAAAACCTCTAATGGGACATGGCATATTTCTTACTTGCTCACATTACATTGGCCAAAACTCTCCACTCATCACATGACTAAACTGAAAGTCATTGGGGCAGGGAAGTAAACTGCACCCACTAAGTGGCACGGTAAAGTCACATGGATGAAAAACACTAATATAGAGAGAAACTAGAATAGTTGAAAACAACATTCTAATCCACTAGAGCTTCCATTATTATTCAAAGAACTTCACCAACTTATTCCTACCTACTTTTGCGGTTACATCTTCTGCTACTGCCAAACTTGAAATTTACATTGCAGTAATACTGTGGTAGCTAGTCTCTAAAAATGAGCCCCCAATGATGCGTGCCTTTTGGTATTGGTGGTATTGTATAGGCTCCATCCCTTGAATCTTGGGTGAATATGTTATTCATTAGCCACCAATAGAAGTAGAAGTGACACTGCATGACTTCTTAGCCAGGTCAGAAGAAGTCTTGCAGCTTCAACCTTGCTCCCTTAGAAAAGCACACTTGTGATTCTGTCTCTCAGGAAGCTCCCTCTTGAAACTAGTTATTATATTATGGGAATCCCAAGCCATGTGGAGACCATATGTGTGCACTTCAGTCAACTACCCCAGCTGAACTCTCAATGAATGGCCAGTATCAACTACCAGTAATATGAGTGAGCAATATTGTACATTTACTCCAGTTGAGTCTTCAAAAGACTGTAGCCCCAGCTGAACAACTAACTACAACTGCCAAAGATACCTTAAAAAGGAACCACAAATCTGAATCTGGTCAACTCACAGATTTGTAAGAGAAGGTTATAAATTGCTTTTTAAAAAAATATTACTTTGTTTTGGCATCCTGTGTTTATTTCAGTTGTGGCAAAATACACATAACATAGAACGTAGCATCTTAACTATTTTTAAGTGTAGAGTTCAGTGGTGTTAAGTACATTTACATTGGCATGCAACCAATCTCCAGAACTGTTCTCATCTTGCAAAAGTGAAATTCTATACCCTTTGAACGATATTCTTTTCTCTCCCCTGCAGCAACCACCATTCTACCTTCTGTTTACATGAATTTTGCTATGCTAGGTAACTCATATAAGTGAAATCATACAATATTTGTCTTTTTGTGACTGGATTATTTCACTGAGCATAACATCTTCAAATTTCATTCAAGTTGCAACATATGCCAGAATTATCATCCTTTATAAGGATGATATAATAGTCCATTGTGTGGATAAACCATGTTTTGTTTATTCATTTATCTGTTGATGGATACTTGGGTAGCCTGCACCTCTTTGCCATTTTTAATAATGCTGCTATAAACATAAGTGTATATATATACATATATATATCTTCAAGATCCTGCTTTCAAGTTTTTTGAATATGCACCCAGAACCGAAACTGCTGGATCACATGATAATTCTATTTTTATTTTTTAAGAACTGCTTTACTGTTTTCCAGAGCAGCTGTGCCATTTGACGTTCAAACCAGCAGCTCACAAGGTTTCCAATTTTTCCACATCCTTGCCAACACTTGTTATTTTCTGTTTTTGTTTTTTTTTTTAAATAGCGGTCATCCTAATGTATTTTAAATGGTAAAATATTAAATTATGAAGTGGTTTCTCACACAGCAATAGAAAACTAAAAAGGAACTTAGGACCTAAAGTGAAGTGATGTCTCACCAAAAACTAACACATGTGGCTTCAGCATTGGGACCAGACAGCAGGCAGAAACTAAAAGGACATTAAATAGACTATTAGTTAAGGTTGGAAGAGACTCAGGAAAACTGTTATGAAAAGCTAGAAGGGCCTTGAGAAGACCATGGCTTGGAAAACAGTGAGAAAAGCATTATTGGAGGAAAGATAAGGGGGCCCTTGCCAACACTCACCTGGGCATCATTGAAAATAAATCTGGGGCCCAATCAACTCATTAATATGGCTGGGAAGATTTCCAGGCAGGATATAAAAAATAGCAACTAGTTTCTTCCTCTTCATCTAGAGTGATCAACTAAAGGATGAACTGTTCAGTTTTCAAGCAGATGTGGAAGAAACATAAAGCAGCCAGGGTATGCTGGTTATAGAAATAACTGTTTAAGGAAGGGTATTAGTTCATTCTCACACTGCTATAAAGATACTACCTGAGACTGGGTCATTTATAAAGAAAGGAGGTTTAATTGACTCACAGTTCTGCATGGCTGGGGAGGCCTTAGGAAACTTACAATCATGGTAGAAGGCAAAGGGGAAGCAAGGCACCGCTTACATGGTGGCAGGAGACAGAGAGAGAGACCAGGGGAAACTGCCACTTTTAAACCATCAGATCTCATGAGAATTCCCTCAGTATCACAAGAACAGCATGGAGGAAACCATTCCCATGACCCAGTCACCTCCCACCAGGTCCCAGGCTAAATACATGAGGATTATAATTCAAGATGAGATTTTGGTGGAGACACAGCCAAACCACATCATTCTCCCCTGGCCCCTCTCAAATCTCATGCCCTTCTCACATTTCAAAACACCATCATGCCTTCCAAACAGTCCTCCAAAATCTTAACTCATTCCAACATTAACCCAAAAGTCCAAGTCCAAAGTCTCATCTGAGACAAGGCAAGTTCCTTCTGCCTATGAGCCTGTAAAATCAAAAAGAAGTTAGTTACTTCCAAGATACAATGGGGGTACAGGTAATGGGTAAATGTTCCCATCCCAATTGGGAGAAATTGGCCAAACAAAGGGGCCACAGGCCCCATGCAAGTCCAAAACCTGGAAAGGAACTCATTAAAGCTCCAACATAATCTCTTTTGACTCTATGTCTCACATCCAGGGCACGCCGATGCAAGGGGTGGGCTCCTACAGCCTTGGGCAGCTCTGTCCCTGTGGCTCTGCAGGGTTCAGCCCCTGTGGCTGCTTTCATAGATGGGTATTCAGCGACTGTGGCTTTTCCAGGCTCATGGCAAAAAGTTGTTAGTGGATCTACCATTCTGGGATCTGGAGGATGGTGGCCCTCTTCTCACAGCTCCACTAGGCAGTGCCCCAATGGGGACTCTGTGTGGGGGCTCCAATCTCACATTTTCCCTCTGCATTGTCCCAGTAGAGGTTCTCCATGAGTGCTCCACCCCTGCAGACTTCTGCCTGGACATCTAGGCATTTCTATACATCCTCTGAAATCTAGGTGGATGCTGCCAAGCCTCAACTCTTGACCTCTGTGCACCCGCAGGCCCAATACCACATGAAAGCCACCAAGGCTTGGGGCTTGCACCCTCTGAAGCAATGGCCCAAGCTATACTTTTGCCCCTTTTAGCCATGGATGGACCTGGAGCAGCTGGGACACAGGGCAACCTGTCCCGAGGCTGTACAGAGCACCAGGGCCCAGGGCCCAGCCCACAAAACCATTTTTCCCTCCTAGGCCTCTGGGCCTGTGATGGGAAGGGCTGCCACTAAGGTCTCTGAAATGCCCTGGAGGCATTTTTCCCATTGTCTTGACTAACATTCAGCTCCTCATTAATTAGGCAAATTTCTACAGCCAGCTTGAATTTCTGCCCAGAAAATGGGTTTTTCTTATCTACCACATGATCAGGCTGCAAATTTTCCAAACTTTGATGCTCTGCTTCCCTTTTAGATAAAAGTTCCAGTTTCTGATAATCTCTTTGTGAATGCATATGACTGAATGCTTTCAGAATCAGCCAGGTCATAACTTGAATGCTTTGCTGCTTAGAAATTTCTTCTGCCAGATACCCTAAATCATCTCTCTCAAGTTCAAAGTTCCACAGATCTCTAGGGCAGGGGCAAAATGCCACCAGTCTCTTTGCTAAAAAAATAGCAAGAGTGACCTTTGCTCCAGTTCCCAATAAGTTCCTCATCTCTATCTGAGACCACCTCAGCCTGGACTTCATTGTCCATATCACTATCAGCATTTTGGTCAAAACCATTCAACAACTCTCTAGGAAGTTCCAAACTTCCCCACATTTTTATGTCTTCTTCTGAGCCCTCCAAACTGTTCCAACCTCTGCCTCTTACCCAGTTCCACAGTCACTTTCACATTTTCAGGTTATCTTTATAGGAGTACCCCACTCTGCTGATACCAATTCTCTGTATTAGTCTGTTCTCATATTGCTACAGAGATACTACCTGAGAATGAGTAATTTATAAAGAAAGGAGGTTTAATTGACTCACAGTTCTGCATGGCTGGGGAGGCCTCAGGAAACTTACAATCATGGTAGAAGGCAAAGGGGAAGCAAGGTACATCTTACATGGCAGCAGGAGAGAGAGATTAGGGGAAACTGCCACTTTTAAACCATCAGATCTCGATAGAACTCCCTCACTGTCATGAGAACAGCATAGGAGAAACTGCCACCATGATCCAATCACCTCCCACCAGGTCCCTCCTTTCACACATGAGGATTACAATTCAAGATGAGATTTGGGTAGGGAAAAAGAGCCAAATTATATCAGGAGGAAAGATTAAATCCTTGGCCAGATGACAGGATTTCAGTAAGATCCTTAGTTAAGACCTCAGAAAGATCTGTGCTTATAAATCAATCTATAAGTTCCTTATAGAAAACTCAAGGTACCAACAAAAGACCATTCTAAGGATCTTAATGGCATACCTCTAGACCCCTGTCATAAACAACAGAGATTTTAAAAATCTTCACAGTCTTGTTCCACAGCAGCCCAGAGGTCCAAGATAGAAAAAAGCCTGTCTCAAAGAGATTTGTGGATACAGTTTTGTCTAATTATACTCTTTACTATATACTGCTTCAAAGGTGTGACATGCTCATACTCTTTCCTCTTTTCACCATTCCCTTCTTCTCTCCCTGATTAAAACCTACTCAACATTCATTCAATGAAAACTTAATAAGCTACAGTTAGGTACAAGGCACTATTACTTTAAAAATATACTTAAAAAATGTACAAGATCTTTTGTAAAAAAGCTAACAGAATTTGACTACTATAGTTGGACTATAGGATTAGGAATAATGTTCATTTTTTCTTCTCTTTTGACCCACCTATATTTCTAAATTTCTTACAGTAAACTATATTGACTATTTTTTTAAAGATAGAGTAGAAGATTCTCTTCCCTAGCAGAACCCATATTTTGTTGGAGGTGACAATGTGTCCAGGTAAAAAACTCACTTCATCAAGCTCACTTGCAGTAACTGTTGGCCATGTGGTTTTATTCTAGCTAATGAAACAAAAGCTGAAGTTTTCTGGGAAAGCTTTTCATTTTTCTAATGAAGACACCACATCTTCCTGCTATCCTAGTTCTTCTTCCTGCTAGGAATGCAGGCATAATGCCTATAAATGTAGCAGGCAACTTGCAGCCATAATGATGAAAGAAAAAGTTGGATTAAAAGTTTGAGCCTGGGTTGATGATACTATCATGGAGCAACCACACCAACTATAGATTACCTACCTCAATATTTATTTTATTTTTATTTTTTAAGTTTATTGTGGTATGGTACAATTTACATAAAATTCACCCTTTATAAGTGTACAATGATGTGATTTTTGACAAATATATACAAACAGATATACATTACCACCAGCATAATTAAGATGTAGAATGTTTCCATCACCCCCAAAAAGTTTTCTCATGACTTTCATACTCAATCCTCTCCCCAAGCTCCCGGCCTCTAACAAATGCTAACCTATTTTCTGCCTCTATAGATTTGTCATTTCCTGAAAATTACATAAATTGAATCATATAGTATATACCCTTTTGTATGTGGTTTAACTTAGCGTAATGCTTTCTTGATTCATCCATGTTGTTGCACATATCATTAGTCTGTTCATATTTATTTCTTAGAAGTATCTCATTGTTTTAGATATACCACAATATGACCATTCATTCACCAGCTGATGTGCATTTGGATTATTATCATATTTGTCTATTTAGAATAAACCAGACGTGAACATTCATGAGGTCTTTCTGTGGACATATGTTTGCATCTCTCTTGGGTGAAACACATAATCACATCTCTTTATGGATTATCTATTCCATTCCATTTATCTATATGTCCATCTTTGTACACCATACTGTCTTCAGTACAGTAAATTTACAGTAAGACTTTTTTAATATTTAAATTTTAGGTTCAGTGGGTACATGTGCAGGTTTGTTACATGAGTAAATTGCATGTCACTGAGGCTTAGTGAATGAATGACTCCATCACCAAGGTAGTGAACATAGTACGTGATAGGTAGCCTTCCAACCCATGCCTCTCGCCCCACCATCCCTCCTCAAGCAGTCCCCAATATCTATTGTTCCCATCTTTGTTTCCATGTGTATTCACTGTTTAGCCCCCACTTGTAAGTGGGACTATGAAGTATTGGTTTTCCGTTCCTGCTTAATTTGCTTAGGATAATGGACTCCAGCTGCATCCATGTCGCTGAAATGAACATGATTTCCTTCTTTTCTTTGGCTGCATAGTATTCTATGGTGTATATGTACCACATTTTCTTTATTCTGTCCAGCATGGATGGGCATCTAGATTGATTCTATGTCTTTGCTATTGTGAATAGCACTGTGGTGAAGATATGAGTGCAAGTGTCTTTTTGGTAGAAAAATTTATTTTCCTTTGGGTATGTATTAGCGTTCTCCAGAGAGACAGAACCAACAGGATAGATGTCTATATATAAAGGAGTTTATTAGAGAATTTGCTCATACTACTACAAGGCAAATTCCTACAATAGGCATTCTGTACGCTGGGGAAAGAGAGAAGCCAAAAGTGGCTCAGTCTAAGTCCAAAAATCTCAAAACCAGGGAAGCCAATAGTGCAGCAAAAGGCCCAAAAGTTTCTGGAAAGCCACTTTGCTGGAAGTCCCAGAGTCCAAAGTCTGAAGAACCTGGAGTCCAATGTGCAAGGGCATAAGGAGTGGAAGCAAGCATCTGGTATGGGGAAAAAAAGAGAGCCAGAAGACTCAGCAAGCAAGCTATCCCCCTTTCTTCCACCTGCTTTGTTTTAGCTGTGCTGGCAGCCAATTGCATGGTGCCACATTGAGGGTGGGTCTTCACTCCCAGTCCACCAGCTCGAATGTCAATCTCCTCCGGCAACACCCTCACAAACACACCCAGAAACAACACTTTACCAGTTATATAGGAATCCCTCAATTCAATCAAATTGACACCTAATATTAACCATCACATATACCCAATAGTGAGATTGCTGGGTCAAATGGTAGTTCTGTTTTAAGCCCTTTTGGCAATCTCCAGACTGCTGTCCGCAGTGGCTGAATTATTCACATCTCCACCAGGAGTGTATAAACAACCTCACCAGCATCTGATGTTTTCTGACTTTTAAGTAATAGTTATTCTGACTGGTGTGAGATGGTATCTCATTATGGTTTTGATTTGCATTTCTCTAATGATTAATGATAATGAGCATTTTTCATATATTTGTTGGCCACGTGTATGTCTTCTTTTGAGAAGTGTTTGATTATGTTCTTTGCCCATTTTTATTGGGGTTGTGTTTTGCTTGTGAATTTGTTTAAATTCTTTAGATTCTGAATATTAGACCTTTGTTGGATACATAGTTTGCAAATATTTTCTCCCATTCTATAGGTTGTCTCTTTACTCTGTTGATAGTTTCTTTTGCTGTGCAGAAGCTCTTTAATTATATCTCACTTGTCAATTTTTATTTTTGTTGTAATTGCTTTTGAGGACTTAACCATAATTCAGATGTGGATGGGTGTAGCTCCTAACACACATGGTAAACTGAGGTAGCTGACAGATGTTTGAGTTGTGCACACATGTGCATTTTGTGCATTCCTACACTGCTCACTACAGGTGGAGTTTTCTGTGTTCCCCTAGTGTTTTTCTTGAACAAAATAATGCATACGTGAAATGTGCATTATGGTCAAATTGTTCCCTAATATATCAATTGTGTTGAAACAAATTCAAATTTTCAAAGCAAGAGTTATAACATAACTGACTGCATGTTAGACGTTAAAATAGACATGTCTAATAGGCAGTTGGATTTATAAGTCTAGAGTTTATGGCAGAGGTACCAACTAAATATAATTTAGAAGTCATCAACATATATACGCTATTGAAAGTCATGCAACTGGTTGAGACTACCTAGGGAGTGCATATAAATATAGAAGACATCAAGTTCTAGGACATTCCAACGTTTAGAAGTCAGGAAGATGAGGAGGAATCAGGAAAGGATTCTGAGAAGGAATAGTCGAAATGGTTGGAGGAGAATCAGGGAAGTGGGCTTTCCTAGAAGCCAAGTGTAGAAAGTTTTTCAAGGAAGAGGGAGGAACCAACTGTATCGAATAAAGCAGATAGGTCAAGTATAAAAAAGGACTAGGAAACATTCTTGTAATCTGGTTACCTGGAGGGGACTGGTAACTTTGACAAGAATAGTTGAGTAGAGTGGTGAGAAAGAAGGCCTGATGGGAAATAGTTGAAGAGGAATTGGGAAAAAAAAGGACTGAAGACAGCTAGTACGGGGAATTATTTTTCGAGGGAAAGAAAAATACAGCAAAGCTGGTATGATACATCAGAATTTTTCTTTAAGATTGAAGAAATTACAGCTTGTTTATATGCTGATCAGAACAGAGGTCCTGGGTGTAGATGCAGGTAGGTGGAAAAGATGTTGATAGTATGTGGAGATTCCCTTTGATTGCCTCTGTTTTCTCAGTGAAGCAGAAAGCAAGATCATTTTCAGCTGAGAGTGAGGCAGGAAAGGAGGTGTTGGCATTCCAGGAGAAAAGAATCAAACCATTGTTCAGGAGAGTTTGAAAGGACTAGGGTAACAGAATAACATATTTATTTTTTAAAGTTCCTAGATAGAACCACTGGATCAAAGGATGCATATAATTTTCATTTTGTTAGATACTGTCAAATTGCCCTCTGACAGTACATTAGTTCACATCCCCACATGTGACAATGCCTGCTTTCTCAAGCCTCTGCCAACACAGTATGCTATCAAGCATTTACGCCCTTTTCAATCTGAGGGTTGAAAATGATATCTCAGTGCAGTTTTAGTTTGAAATGTTCTTATTTATGTGAAATTGAGCATTTTTTCTTATGAATAGTGACAAAGGACCACAGATAAAACTAGATCCTTCCAGGGAGCTGTGACTTGGTAATTTAGGCAAACAATTTCTTTTCATTTTCTGTCTCCATCCACTCAACCAGTATTTACTGAGTGTCTACTATGGATTATACGCTGTTCTATTGACCAAGGGATACAGCAGTGAACAAAAAAAAATCAATATCAGAAGCTAAGCTGGGAGCCATATCCCAGAATCACAGAAACTCGAGGGAAGAAGAGGTCACAGGTAACCGCCATGATCAAGACAAGAACCCAGGGCAGAAATCAAGCTTTCTGTTAGGTGCTATGGAGAGGAACACTAAGATTTTTGAGCAGGCAAATGATATAAAATCGAGCTGAGCTTTAGGATGACAAATCAACCCATTTGTTTGTGGATTAAGGATTAAGGAAAAGCAGCAGCTGGTTCATGGGAAGTACTTAGTAAATGTGAAAGGGGAAAAAAAAGGACTTTCCATGAGGGAAAGGTGGCTACAGATACAATAGAAGTCCTCTTCTTCACAGAACTCTGAATCAGTTGGTCTTGTAGGTACTCAGAGAAAAATTGAATATAGAGGAATTAACTACTAAAAGCTGTGCTCAGCCACTCTCCCAGGTCCCCTGGACTCCCTGTGATTTTCCAGGCATTGTAGCAATGGGTGATTCTAGAGCGGAACTGGAGGCACAATGCCTATTTAAAGATATATTTTCAGCCTTAAAGAATTCCTCCTGGCAATGCTCTCAGCTGCAGCCCTTGGGAATTGATGCAAATTTCCACTCAGGTATCAAATTACATATGCTGAACGATGTAATTCAAACTTATCTGAACCAAGTTCCTCAGTGCTAAGCTGACATGCAAACCAAAAAAGCCATGCTATTTGAGTAGTTTCCTTGATTTCTCCTTCCACTGGCAGTACCCACATGTCTACAATTCCAGTCAATCTTGTAAACTGGAAAACTTCCCAATCAAAATAGGAAGCATTCATCAAATATAATCATAAACTCCTGTCCTGGAACTCCTTGTGGTGTCCCTGGAAGCTGAAGATGTCGTTTGGGAAAGCACTTAGCCAGGCAGCAATATTGCTCAACCTTTCCCCTCTCCTGGCACCCTGGAATTCTCTTGCAAAAAGTTGCCAAGTCATAAATCACTAGAGCTGTGTTGAAGTTTGAAAATTTTTAGTTTCCCTAAACCTCCTTCCAGTCCTCACAAAGTCCAACTACATGGCTGTTTTAGGCGCCTACACTGAGATTCCTGCTCATTTCGACACAAATCTTGATAACCCCAACATCAATCCCTCCCTAGTGTGAAGTAATCTGAGCAATTCTCTGTTCTTGTAAAACAAGAACCTGATTTCCCATGTATTGGTTATTTAGCAATGAACTCATTACTTCATCACTGAGGATACATAGCAACCTTAGCAACCTTTGGATGGTTGTGAAGAAAAAGTGAATTATCATGTACTACATGTCTTCTAAGTGTCAGGCACTGTGTTGGGTGTTTATAAAAGTTATCTCATTTTGGTCAGGATCATGACTGTAATGTAAGATACTCTGTAAACATTAAACACTCTAGAATATAAGAAATTATTATTGTGGGGTATTAATGCTGCAATCCTTCCTTTACAATGAGAAAATTCACAGAAAGCATTCCCATAGTGTCTCATACTTTTCTCAAGATCCGTAGTCCTAACAAAAGGCAAATGGTGATATCACATATGTCTGCATTCGCTCATTGGACTGTTAGCAATCAGAGGGCAAAGACTAGGTGTTATTTTTCCTTTGTCCACAGCCAAGCAAAATAAGCAGTGCCTAGGTCAAAACAGGTGCCTAGAAAATGTGTGTTAAGTAATTTGAAGGCAATTCAGGGTGAGGAGGTCAGACACTAATTGACAATGCTGATGAATGTGATGACTGATTGATAAAGATGACAGAAGTGCCATGCTTAGAAACAATTCTTATCCTTACCATGGCCTGGAACCCTCTAGTATCCTTCTTCTGCTAACTTCTGCTAACTCACTATGATCCAAACACAGCAGCCTTCTTGCTATATTTCAGACATACCAAGCAACCCCTACCGCAGGACCTTTGCCTTTGCTGCTCTTCATGGCTTACTCTTACTTCATTCAGGTCTCTGTTCAAATGACACATCTTCAGAGAAAACTGTTCTGACTGTAATTTCTAAAACAGAATGCCTGAAATCTTGCTAGTTCTTTACCCTGCTCTATTTTTATTAATCACACTTACCAATACCTAACATCATGAATCCAATAGTTTGCTTGTTCCACTAATGTATAAGCTTCAATTAAGAGAGAGATGTTTTCTTACTCACCATGGCAACTCCAGCACCGGAATAACGCCTGGCATGCAGCAGGTACTCAAAACTTTGTTCAAAGAACAAACAAATTGATGAATAATTTAGGTCTGAGAGTTAATTGCCAGGTCAAGACCCCTGTGGCTTAAAGATTCCTGATGCTTTTTTACATCATACTTAAAGTAAAAGTGTAGAGCACGACATATTGCTAATAACAAACAGGTTGCTCAGCCTTCTAATCTCTAGATCCTTCTGGAGCTATGTAATTTGGAAAGTAAAATTGAATTCCACATCGGTTTATCCAAAAATAATCCTTGAATGATTAAAAATATGAATTCAAAATCCAGATTGGCAGCAAAAGTTAAGACAATCAACACTAAAAGAATAAACTAATTCGGATAGTCCTAATTTGCCTTCAGAACAGAACAAAAATGAAAACATCTTAATCAAATACAATAATTTTCCTTCTCTAACTGACCCAGCATGCGCAGAAAATCTGCCAACACAAATTCCAGTTGTGTTCAGTAGGATGAGAATGACATGCCAGAAAATCTGACAAGTCAAGAGGGGTAACAGAAATGGAGCCTTTGCCCAAGAGAGAAGGGGAAGTGTGTGCGTAGGGGTGGTTCATTCAAAATATGGAACATGACTTTGTGATTAAAAATGTATATGATGCTCAGAAACCCCTTTTG